>NC_000009.12:99584188-99735703 GCF_000001405.40 Homo sapiens | reverse complement strand
ACGAAAGAGCAGCTAATTTCTTGGGAAAGCTGGGAAGGCTTTCTAAGGCAAGTGCCATTTGAACTGTTAAAGCTTTTTTTTTGTGATCCTCACCCTTGACCCAGCTGGGCAGTTTATTTTCCTTCAGTGTTTTCCCATACCACTTGCTACCTGATTCTAATTACAGTAGTACTCTATTTATTATAATTATCAATGCACTGTCTGCCCTCTCTGCTTTGACATAGACTCTTCCAGGGCAGAGGTTGTGTTTTATGCATCTCAGTCCCTGCATGGTATCCAACACCAGTTAAAAGGTGTTGGTTACAGACTCAAAATAAATGAATCTTGAAGAATAAGTTTAAATTTTCCAGGCCCTGAAGGAAGGAGAAAGGCATTTAAGACAGAGGCATAAGCATGAGAAATTATGGAGGCATCTAAGGGTGTAGTGTCTTAGGAAAATAGTGAGTAGGCTTGGAAGACTGGCAAGGGGGGAACATTCAGGGGAGGGATGGGCGGTGACTTGGGAGGAAGCAGAACATTTTAATGGGTCCACTGATGCAGCCATATGAATGACTTAGTCCAAATGTAAAAGCACTTGAAAAACTACCAAACAATATGTGCTGCAGCTGTTCCCTGACCCGGAGTCCATCCTCAGGACCTGGGCCTCACTCCACCCTTCACCCTGTCTCTGAGTCTTACTCCACCTTCAGCTTCACTCATCCCGTTTGAGGTCATGTTTGCTGTCTTTGGAAGGGTCACAAAGCAAATGTGAATTTTGGTTGTAGGTCTAACTACATTCTACTTATATCTTTCTTATTCCATGGGTATGGTGATACCTTTGTTCCTTATCGAAAGAACATCATTTTATTTCCTTTCTAAATTATTCTATGGAAAATTGAGCACTTTTTTTTTCACTCACTCACTCTTCCTAGTGATTGGTTTCATCACCATTCACTTAGTTTCTGGTCAGAAATCTGGACTTTATCCTAATATTTTCTTCTCCCACAGAGCGGGCTTCTAATTGCTACTAAGTCTTCCTGTGCTACTACCCAAATGAATCCTATATATATATTATAATATATTATATTTTATTATATATATATACATATATAAAATACAGTGATGCACAAGGAAGGCATTGAGATTTATATTCCCCAGCCCTCAAACACCTGTAGGAGTTTTGGTACTTCCAGCACAATTCTAATCTTTCTCTCTTTTGGTAAATAATGCTTACACCCTTCCTGCCTCTATTCTCCACCAATTCTCCCCACTCTCCTCCTGCTACTCTGAACTTGGAAATAAATTTGTACATGCAATAATATACATACATATAATTTTAAAGTGTACAGTTTGGTAGCATTAAGTACATTCCCATTGTTTTGCAACCATCACCACCATCCATCTTTAGAACTTTTTTCATCATCCCAAACAGAAACTCTGAACCCATTAAATAATAAACCCCTATTTTACCCTCTCCTAGCCCCTGGCAACCACCATTCAACTTTCTGCCTCTATGAATTTGACTGCCATAGGTACCTCATGTAAGTGGAATCATACAGTATTTGTCCTTTTATGTCTGGTTTATTTCGCTTAGCATAATATCATCAAGGTTCATCCATGCTGGAGCATGTGTCAGAATTTCCTTCTATTTTAAGACTGAATAACATTCCACTGTATGTATGTACCACATTTTGTTTATCCATTCATACATCGATGGAACTACAGTGATATTTCTGAAATATTGTCACTCTTAGAAATGTATAGTAACTTGTCCCCATGATTATAATAAACCTAAAAGTCTTTACTATGCTTTCCAAAGCTCCTACTTACCACTACAATTTTTATTTTATCTATTCTCCTCTTACACTCTCAGGCTACCTGATCTTGCCACAATCTTTCTCACATCTGGGTCTCAGCCCCAGCTTCTTCCTTGACTTACAAGGGTAAGCCCAGCTTGCACCTCAGACTTGACTTGAGACATCACCTCCTCCAGGAAGCTGTCCCCTGTCCCTTCCAGGATGGGTTAGGTATCCCCTTTTCTGTGATTCTAGAACCCCCTGAAATTCTTTCTACCATACTTGTCACTCTTAGAACAAAGATGATATCTTATTTGCCATTTCATTCCCAGAGTCTGGCATGTTTTGGGTGCTCAATAAATTTTTGTTGAATGAATGAATGAATAATGCAGGAGGTGGACATTGAGGTGGTGGCCTGTATGAATGACTGCCTCGGCTACAGCAAACATGAAGAGTGATCCTTTGCAGCTCACTGGACACTAGACTGCCTTCACTCCCATGAAAGAGCTGACTTAGGCACTTTGTGCACACGGCGGAATGGCACACAAGGAAGGCACTGAGATTTATATTCTCCAATCCTCAAATGCCTGTAGGAGTTTTGGTACTTTCAGCACAATTCTAATCTTTCTCTCTTTTGGTAAATAATGCTTATACCCTTCCTGCCTCTATTCTCCACCAGTTCTCCCCACTCTCCTCCCGCTACTCTGAACTTGGAAATAAATTCGTATGTTTAGGTCACTTAAACAAAAATGGGACTCTATTCTTTGAAGTAAGTGTTTAGTTTGTAAAAGGATCAATGGGCTATTTTAGATCAAATAACTGTGTTTTATTTAGCCATTTAAAGTGGTCTATTTTCATTTTTTAAGCCATTGCCTTGTGAAGGGACCTAAGAATATCCCCAACTTAGTGTTAGATCCCGTAATTACATTTTCCCATTTTGAAAGCAGTTATGCCGTCCTTACAATGGAGTCAACGCAGCTAAAAATAAACTCCAGGCAGTTCATATTAACTGGGTAATAATAACAGGCAACAAGGAGGCTCGGTGTCCAAATATGATGAAAACAGGAAGTTCATTACACAAGCTGTTCTTTCCTGATAGATGTGAATTCTTAAAGCCTTAACTCAAAAATAATCCCTTCAGGTTATAAATAAAAGCAGAGAAGTGTCTCTTCCATGCGGCTTAATGGAGATGATAACATTGTAGCTAAATAAATCCCCATCATTAGGGATAGAATGTAATACCAGAACGTCTATTTTGGAGGAGGAAGGAGTAAGTCTGGAGACCCCTTTCCTCACAGACAGCCAGGGTGTATTCTCTTCTTACTCTGGGCACAAGTTGCCAGGGAGATGCTGCTTTACTAGGGTACAGTGGCAGGGAAACAGAAAGCCTTCAGGTGTAAAAAGGATTTTTATTTTTCCCTGCAGAGAAAATGGATGGACAAAACAATCCCAATTCCAAGTGTCTGCCAAATATTGTAAATTTCAATCCCGCTTTTTCAGGGTCATGAGAATGAGGCCCAAAGAAAGAGGGTAAACCCCTTTCCTTATAGAACTTTTCTCTAGTGAGTGTCACTGAATGTAGAGATTCAGATTATTGATTAAAACACGATGAGCATGATGGAAAATTTTAATTTAGGTAGCTAGAATGAACCTGAGGGGCTCCCTTCCTGAAACCAAGTCCCAGCCTTCCCAAGTGCCAATGGGTACTGTGAGGAGGGTGACTCTGACCCATCCAGCTCTTCCAAGGAAATCTCACTAGTCATTACTCTGGCTGCCAGCAGGGTCAACCTGGCCCAAACAGGCGTCCCATCTTTCTTTAGTCTCTTGTCAAAACACAGTAGGAGACCAGGGCTTGACTGTAGGATTGGGGTCATGTATACAGGATGGGGGTAAAAAAGAGGTATCATCTGCAGAGAGTAATGAGTACAACCTAGTCTGGCTTGGTAGGTACAGTTTTCTCTCCCTAGTCTGGGTCAGCCTCATCTGCAGGCTTTGCCTTGAAGAAAAGAGTATGATTAAAGAGTACTGGCCTTTTGAATTGCCCTCCCCACGCCCCCCACCAGTTATTCCATTTGCATGTTGGGTGCATTCCCCCTTCACTACGCAAGTCTAATAATACGTTCGGGGAAGTTATTCTTGTTACTTTCAAAGTGATGGAAGATAGGGCCAGTCACAATGGTCATCAGAACAGTGGCACTGGCAAGGTCTCACATTTGAGAACGGCCTCAAGTTTAGACATTTGATGTTATTTCTGAGTGAGGCTAAACATGTAGCCACAGACATACCCTGCTCTGAAAAGAAAAGATGTTCATATGTGACTTAAAAATTTTTTTAAATTTTAATTTTGTGTGTACACAGTAGGTATACATATTTATGGGGCCTGGGGTATGGAGCCTGACACAAACCTCTCCCCCCAGTCACTGCACACGCACTAGAATGAATACTGCCTGCAGGCCTGTTTGCTAACAGATGCACAGTGCAGACTGACTTTTGATGATGCTTTGCATTAATTATTTTTTTTTTTTGGTAAAAAATAAGGGATTATTAAGAGTATTTGGGATAGGCTCAGGTGATGTCCTAAGCTGTGGGGTAAGGAGTGTTTTACTAGATTTTTGAGTTGTGATTTGAGCTGAGTGAAGTGTGACATTCCTTCCTGGATCAACCCCTGCCTCGCAGACCATCAGTACTTCTGTCACAAGGCTCAATTTTGTACATTAAAAAATTATAGGGTGGACATTAGTTTCATTTCCGTGGTCCACTTATAACTCATAGTGCCACAAATCCAAAATTCTTCTGTTACTTTTTGTCCATTTCAAGAACCTACCACAAAACCCTTCCTGTGAGTAAAAAGGACTTTTTATCTAATTAAATAAGTATTGGGCTTGCTTTGATTTTAAATATTGATGATCTTTGTTACACAAGTTTTTCTTAACTTTAAATTTAATTTCTTTCATTTTCCCTAATGGTAGCAACTGTGCTTTGTATTTTGGAGTTATCTGCCTGGCAACTTGACTATGAGCCATTTGAGCTAACAGTGCAATTCTCAAGCTTTCTGGATTGCAACGCTCTATTGTTTCTCGACTTCCACATATTATCCATGTTTCTCTTTCTTTCTTTTTTAAAGGTTTTCATTAATAGATTACAGCAAAACGTTGTTAACAACTCAACTTCTGTTTTGCTTCTGTTGTCTCTGTCACAGGTAATTGTTCCCAAGCTATAAAAAAATAGAATGAATATTGTTAACAGGACTTTGAAATCAAAGATAGTTTTTAGGTGTGTGTGTTTTTGGGGTTTGTGTGTGGGAAGTCAAAAGAAAGTCTACTTAAATAATTCAACAAATATATTTAGTGCCTAATATATGCCAGACACTGTTCTAGGTTCTGGGAAAACAAGAGTGTACAAGGCAGTGCTCCTGTTTTTAGGGAACGTATATTCTCATAGTAGGATCATGAGGATGGAAGGAACAGGGTCGTGAACAGAGAGACAGATCATGAAGAGGGAGTGATAGGATGTGAGACGTGTGTGCTGCTTTTTGCTGGAGTGGTTAGAGAAGGCCTCTGTAATAAGTGACATTTGAACAGAGACTTGAAAGAAGTGAGGAAGCCTAGTGGTTCTCTGGGGGAAGAGTTTCTTGGTGGAGAACACTTGGGTACAAAGGCTTTGAGGCAGGAGTTTGCATAGCATTTTGAGGAATGTCAAGGAGACCAATTAGAGTGGAGTGGCACAGAGGAAGGGGAGAGTGAAAGGAGATGAAGTTAAAAAGTTAGCTGGGGAAGAAATTGTAGGTTCTTTTAGGCCATGGCAAAGACTTTGGATTTTTTTTCCTTAGTGAGACAGAAGCCAATGGGGAATTTGGAACAAAGGAATGATGTGAACATTTTGACAGGATCACTCTGGGTGCTGTAAGGAAAATGTGTTAGGCTGAATTCCTTAGAGGTCGAACCTGATGGGGATGTGCATGATTTCTGGAGGGAACAGGGTAGAGGATGGGCAATAATGTGATTTCAGGTAATGAGTAGCTTCAGCCTGATTTGTTCTGGAACATAAGTTACTCTGTAGAGTTTTTCCCACATTGAGACAAGCAAGAGGGGCTTTTTACCCTTATCCTGCTTATTGGGTAAATACTCTGGGGAAGCAGATAGACAATGTAAATCCCAAGCACCTGCAGGTTGGGTGGGGGTGGGGGGGGGTGGGGTGGCTTCCATTGCCCAAGGGCAATTCTCTTTGAGGTATTCACAGCAGCTGGGAAAGGGGCTCATCAACCAAATTAATAAAAGGGAGTCCAGGAAACCTGAGGGTGCCAATAGCATCTCTACACAGAATAAGAGTGGAAGTAGAGATACCAATTAGGAGGCTACTGTAATAGTCCTCAAGAGAGATGAAGTTGGCTTGGACCAGAATGTAGCAGTGGAGGTGTTGAGAAGTGGTTGGATTCTGGATATATTTTGAAGGCAGAGCCCACAGGATTTTGCTAGTGGATTGCCTACAGAATGTAAGAGAAGAAGAATCAAGAACAACTCCATTGGCTTAGTTGTCTATTGAGATTAGGAAGACTGTGGGAGGAGCAGGTTTTGGAATGGGGTAAAATTAGAAGCTCTGGTTAAGACATTTTAAATTGAAAATGCCTCATAGATATCTAAATGAAGATATCAAGCAGACAATTGAATTTAAGTGTCTGAAGTTATGAAAATATGTTTTAGTTCCTAGGTTCAGATGACCAACCACCTATGGTACTAAAAGAATGTGCATATGGGTTTGAGTAAGAAAGACCTATTAGTTCCAATAAACTTAAAAAAGGACAAAAAGTGAATATTGGACACTAAAGGTCAGTAAGCTTGATGGCAACTTCAGGCACCATTTGGGTAATTTACTACAAGTTGTAATAATTTGGAGGTAACATAGATTTCCAAAGAACAAATCAGACCATACTAAACTTATTTCCATTTTTGAAAGGTATTCTAGGCACATAGGTTGGGTAAATCCTGCATCCTTAGTATGTCCTGATTTTCACGCAGTGTTTGTTAAGTTTCTTTGTCATATCCTTCTGATAAAATGAAGAGTTAAGGGCCAAACAAAACAGTTACATAGCTTTTTAGTTGGCCAAACAAGAAGAGCGAAAAGGGGTCAACCTTTACACTATTTTTTGCTACCAATCAAGTTATGTCACCAGGCCCTTTGTTAGTCATATATATATATGTGTGTGTGTATATATATATATTTTGTTGTTGTTGTTGTTGTTGTTGACAGCTTAAAGAGGAACAGCTAGAAAGCATATTATTACCTTGGAAGATGATGCAACCTGGAGAAAAATAGCCAATATATTGAAGTATAGAAGTTTAAAAGGAGAAGGAGGAGAAACCCAAACCAAATCTGAAATTTAATAGGGATGCATGCAAAAGAAAGCAAAACACCTCCATTTACAGACTGTGAAAGATCTCCCTTCAGCCAGGAACAGAGTCAATATATTTTTTTTTTTTTAAAAAAAAGAAGTTTATTTTTCATTAAGTCAGCTGTAGCATTAAATTCAGATTGTGGACTTTGGGACCATCTGCCTGGGTCGGAACCCTGGCTCTGCCATTTACAAGTTGTATGATCTTGGGTATGTTTCTTAAAATCTGTTTCACTTTTCTTACCTGGAAAATGAAGATGATAATATTAGTTCCAACTGATATTGTTGGAATTGTAAGAATTAAATGAGTTAAGACATGTGAAGTACTTAGAGCAATGCCTGGCACATAGTAAGTGTTAGGTAGGTCATTATTATAGCAGGTTTAGCAGTATGATGTGGTTGCTAAAAAGGTAAAGCAATCTTTGGGAATAATGGTAGAAGTGAGGGGTCAGGATCAAGGGAAGCTCATGGCTCACTGTATTTTTCATCGCCAAGATTTTGTGTTCAATTCTGGGTGTCTCTAATTTAAAAAGTGTCTATACCTTGTGGGAGATTGAGTGCTGAAAGTGGTAAAGGGTATAGACTCATGCCAAGTGAAGAAAATTCAAAGGACTGGGATGGAGAATATGACTTCTCTTGGAGACAGATTCAGAAGCTGAAATAAAGCTTTCTTGAAAAATCTGAAAGCTGTCACGTGGAAGAGGAATTAGACAAAGTTCCTGTTGCTCTGGAGACAGATCCAGGAGCAAAGGGAAGGAGTAAAAGATGGAATGGGGTTGTGAAAGTGTTGTAGCTTTCTGTTATGGGCAGAAGGTGACAGAAGCCTGTTCTAGCTCTGCCTCTATGTTACTGTATGATTCAAGTCTCTTAACTCTTCAGGCCTCAGTTTCATAATCTGAAATCAGGGTTTGGATTAGATGCACTCTAAAATGAAAATTACAGTTGGTCTATCAATGGACTGTCTTCATAGACAGTGAGTTTTCTGTCATTGGATATGTCTAGGTAAAGGGCACAAGACATATTAAGACATACTAAAACGTAAGTAAAGGGCCCAAGACATATTAAGAGTAGAAATTGAATTTGATTGTATTGAATTTGGCCTAAATGACACCAAAAATCTTTTTTAATTCTAAGATTTTAGGGAATTTTTTTGTATATTTTCGATGCTTTTTCCATCCCCCATCCTTACCCCCAGCCCTGCTCTGTTGATGATGATATACATTCTCAAATGATTACGTAAGAACTCCTGACATTCCCCATTGATTAGACTAAGGTGTGATTTCCACCCTATTCACCTTCTGTGGGGCATACAACTCACAGAGAATTGGATGACCTCCTGAGAGAACTCATGGTACTAATTCCCATGGTGCCTAACGTGGCACAAGAAACTCTAGTTCTAGCATGTTATCATTGCTCCTATTCTGTACTTCAAGTGGAAAAAGTGAAAAGTACCCAGAAGCTACTGACTCCATATTATATAGCTCCTAGGCTCATGGCTGCAAATTGAGTATGTGGTGCCTATGCAGGCCTGGAATCTGCAGACTGGGGGATGGGTGCAGCAGGAAAGAGAGGCATTAAATACAGCAACTGCAGACTGGATGGCAGCCATGAGCAGCAGAGCTGTGGTCATCTGTTGTCTGCAGCTGCCAGGATGTCATTCTTTACACAGAAAATATTTACTGACCACTTATCATGTGTAGGACACTGTGCTAGGCACTCTGAGAGACACCTAGGGGTGTGACACACCACCCCTTTCAGGCAAGGAGCTTCTAGTCTGATTGCAAGACAATTACGAACTAGCAGCAAACACTTTATATAGTTCTGGTATTAGTCAGGGTTCTCTGAAGAAACAGAACCAATAGGTCATAATTGGTTATGTTACATATATCATACACATATGAGGTTTATTATAAGGAATTTGTCTATGCAATTACGGAGGCCAAGACATCCCACAGTCTGTTGTGTGCAAACTGGAGACCCAGGTAAACCAGTGGTATAGTTCAAAGGCCTTACAGCGAGAGAGCTAAAGAGTTGTTGGTGTGGCTCCCAGTCTAAACCTGAAGGTCTGAGATCCAGGAATGCAAGGGCAGGAGAAGATACATGGTCCAGCTCCAGCAGTCAGGGAGAGAGCAAATTGAACTTTCCCCAGCTTTTTAATTCTATTCAGGCCGTTAATGGATTGGATGTTGCCCACTCGCATTGGGGAGGCCATCTGCTTTACTCAGTTCACCAATTAAAATGCTAATATCTTCTGGAAACAACCTCACAGACACACCCCAAAATAAAGTTTAACCAGGTATCTGGGCATTCCATGGCCCAGTCAAGTTGACACATAAGATTAGCCATCACAGTGCTTCATTATTTGCAAAATGCCTGCAAGCAAATTATTCTTCTCTCAATAGGCTGTGGATTAAACCCTTGGAGTATCCTCACAACAACCTGTGAGGTACTGTTACTCACACTTTTCAGACAGGAAATGATGGTTCTGACAAGCTAAGCAACTTACTGGAGATCAACCATTTGTGCTGTCTGAAGTGCCCTTGCTGCCACTGAAGTAGACCTAGGCATGACTTCTGACTCCAATTCCAGAGCTCTTTCTACTACTCTACACTAAAATGCACAAGGAAAGTTAAAAACCAGTATATAAAGACTATAGTATATATAAAGAGAATGGCACAGGTTTGATGTGTTATAGGAATTCAGTAATGCAGATCACTGTTGCTAGGAACAGAAGGAAGGACTATGGAGACAGGTTAAAGTTTGATGGATTGAGACCAAAGGAAGGCATTCCAGAAAAAGCAAAAGTTTTATCAAACATGGGAAACGAGAAAGAACAAATTTAAGATGTTTACAGGGCTGCTACGTTTGGCTGCATCATTTGTGCCTTGCATAACTCCAGGGGTGTAACTCACATAAGCACTGATACAAATGGCATCCCAGGGGCCGTTCACGGCATGGCATCATTTAGTGAACAGCCTGTACAGTGGTCTGGGGAAAGCCCTGAATGTGTACATCAATGAAACTGAGTTGGAGAGTTTTGTAGAGAAGAGATATAGAAACCTGGAAAGATGGGCTAGGAACTGATCAAGGAAAGATAGGAAGGTTAGGGTAAAGATTTTCAACTTCAGTCTGTAGGCAATGAATGATTCTTAATCAGAAAAGGGTCACAATAAAAACAATGTTTTGAGATGATTGATCTAGAGATGTGCAAATTAAATTAGAAAGGGGAGGGGTTGGGAACAGAAGACCAGATAGTACTTTGGTCTCCAAAGCATGAGCTTAGAAAGGGTCAGAGCAATGGTGGTGACAATGAGAAGACAAAAAAAGAGACAAATATAAAAATCTTCTTTCATTAATTCAAATGTTTAGTAAGTGCAAGGCATTGTGCTATATACTGATGATTTAATAGTGAGCCAAATAGGCATGATTCTTGCCATTTTAGAGTTCTTAGACCAGTAAGGGAGTCAGACATTCATCAGACAAATACATATGATGATGCTGTGAAGGAAAAGTACAAGAAGATATAAGAATGTATAACAGAATTGAATTTGATCTAGTTTGTGCAGATAGAGATCAGGGATGGCTTCTTTGGGGAAAAAAAACAACAACAGATGTTTGAATTGAGAATGGGAGGGTGAATAGGAGTAAACTATGCAAAGGGAGGTAAGGAAAGGGACAACAGCATTCCAGACAGTGGAAGCAGTGTGTGCAAAGGACCTGTGGCAGGGAGCATGGATTTAAAATGTGAAAGATGACCAGGAGATTTAGCATACAGCAAGAAAGGTAGAGAGTGGCTGACATGAGGCTGGAAAGAAAGGCAGGAGCCAGATAATACTGGGTTCTTTGTTTTCATTTCAGAAGCAACAAGCAGGTATTGGACATTTAAATCAGGAGCTAACATGTTCAATTTTGCATTTTGAAATGGATATTCTTGATGCTATTTGGAGAATAGAGGGGAGTTGACACTCAGGAAAGCTAGTACAAGCTTGTTACAGTAGTCCGAGAGAGATCTTGTCAGATTGGACAACAGAGATGGTGGTGAGGAGAGAACATTACGAAAGAAGACTTACCAGGACTTGATACTGATGGGATGCAGATAAAGAAAAGAGAAAAGTGAATCAGCAAGTAAAGTTATGGATTTGGGAGTCTTCCTACCCAGTGTTACTATTAACAGATATTATGGAAAATGGGAGGTGGTGCTGGTTTGATATGCAGGGTTGGGGGCATGTTGAGTTATCCAAGTGAAAATGCATCTAGTAAGCATTTGGATTGGGATTTATAAAAACAACAAAAGGATTGAAGTTGTAAAATTGAGAACTTCAATAAAGTTGTTGGTGGTTAAAATAATGTGACGGGAGGAATCTGTAAATAGAGGGGATAGTGAGGAAACATAATAGTGGACTCAGAGCTGAATCGTGTAGAACAACTAGGTAGTACAACTGGGTAGAACAACTGATGTAGTAGATGAACTTGCCAAGAAGTTGCCACAGAAGAAAAAGGGTATTAGTCCACCAAGAAAAATCAGAAAATTAGCCACTAAACATAGTTTAAAAAATTAAAACTTCATATATACTTCCCTTAATTAAATAACAGTATATCTATCAGGTTATATACTACCAGAAAGGAGATTACTATGTGGACTGCAGTGTACCATAAGTGTACCAAAGTCATCATATCATGGTTGCTCTAAGAATATAATATTTGTTTAAGGATGAATACAAATTAAGCTAATGGCCAGTACTAGCCAGAAGGCTAGAGGCTTCTTATCTCTGCATACACTAGTCACAACTGGAGAAATTATACTTAGCTTGTAGCTTTTACTAGTGAGCATCGTGGTCTAGAATCAGATTCTGTAAGACTAATCCATTTGTAAATAACAAGGACCTAGTGCATCATCAAGATGCTTTTTTTTCCTAAAAAATTAATAAGTAATTTGTTTCTAGGTCTGAGAAGTCACAGTGTGTTCCTGTGACCAAGTGCACCAAACTTCCATTCTTATTCCAAATGTCTCTAAAATCCAGTAATACTTGTCTCAGCATTGAATAAGCACATTAAAAAGGAAGTTATTGACTTCCTTGGCTGGAACTTTTTCTTCCCTTTGCAGGTATGCCCAAAGACTTCAGTTCTAAGATGGTAGTGGTATGCTCAGTTTGTGCCAGCTGCTGTCAGGGATTATGAGCCAAATTGGTTCTTTTTGGATGTAAAACCAACTTGAGGTGGGCACCAATGACTTAATGCACTTGCAAAACAAGGCATTTAAGTGAAAGTCTTTGTGTTCCTCTCTTTGCAAAGTCTTTTGTAAAAGCAAAACTCAGGTGGCTTCATCCAGCCAAGATTAAATTCAAAGTTGACTGCTGTAAAGACAAAACAAAAAAGTTCAAGCCAATGAATTGGGTAACTTGTTCAGTTTATGGTTAGTTGAAAACATAAGGCAAGACTTTTTCACTGCCCCTCCACATCTGTGCACAGAGGGGGTGCATGTGAAGAATCACTCTCTGATAGCTGCCTTTTGTGGTTTCACACTTGGAGAGCTAGCTCTGAACCACAGTCCCATAGTAGGGTGGGTCTATTCTTTTTGTAATATTCCCGATTTATCCCACTGTTTTCACAGTTTCTTCTGACATGCTACTTCCCCCTGCCTCAAGGATTTGAGGTGAACGTTTCAGATGGGTAGGATGACCACTCCTCCAACCTAAGCGTAGAAAGTTCGTTGAAATAAAAGGAGAATTAAGCTTCATGTATGTGAAAAGTCAGTGCAGATCCAGGACTTTAGGAAAAATTTACATTTTTAGAAATTATATCTAGGGAAGTACTAACTGAAGTCTAATCCTTTAGCAACAACATTTATTAACCTTTTAAAAAATTGAAGTATAATTTATATACAGTGAAATGCTCAAATCTTCAAGCTCAATCACTTTTGATAACTGCATATTAAGACACAAAATATTTTTATCAGCCCAGAATGATGTTCCCTCATGCTTCTTCCCACTCAATTTCCAAATTCACCCCCCAATCAACTGCTGATCTGCTTTCTATCACATAGGTTAGTTTAGTTTATTCTAGAATTTCTTATGACTGCAATCATACAGTATATGTTCTTATGTGTTTTGTTTCTTTCACCGGACATACTTTTGAGATTCATTCATGTTGTGTATATCAGTAGATCATTTCTTTCTATCGCTGAGTAATATTCTATTCTTTGAATATGCCACAGTTTTAAAAAAACACTTTTGCCTGTTGACGTACATCTGGGTTTTTTCTAGTTTTTGGCTATTATGAATAAAGCTGCTATGAACATTTTTATATAGGGCTTTATGTAAGCATAGGTTTTCGTTTCTCTTGGGAAAATATCTAGGAGTAGAATTGCCCGGCCACAGGGTAGACATATGTTTAACTCTTTAAGAAACTACTAAACAGTTTTCCAAAGTTATTGCATCATTTTATACTCCCAGCAGCAATATATGAAAATTTGGATTGCTCCACATTCTTTCCAACATTTGATGTTGTTAATCTTTTCTTAAAAAATTTCAGTCATGTATGTGTGTATGTGTGTATATGTGTGTGTTTTACTTTGCATGAAACTTATAAATAATAAAGTTGAGTATCTTTATATGTGCTTGTTGGCCATTTGTATATCTTCTTTTGTGGCTGTCCAAGTCTTCTTTAAAAAATGATTTGTCTTTTTATTATTGATTTATAGAATTTCTTTGTATGTTCTATATGCAATGTATTTGTCAGAGAGATATATATTATATATATACATAATATTCACTATATATAGATATATTTTATATTTTATATATAAATTTTATATTTATATAATACATAAATATATTATCTATAATATATAAAATATATAAGTATATTATATATAATTTATATATAAAGTATAAATTATAAATATATAATATATATAATTTATATATAAAGTATAAATATATAATATATATAATTTATATATAAAGTATAAATTATAAAAATATATAATGTATATATATTTTATATTTTTATATCTAAAATATTCACTATATATAGCTCTATCTACATATCTATCTATCTACTGAATTTTTTTTCTCAGTGCGTGGCTTGTGATTTATTTTCTTGACGGTGTCTTGATGAGCAAATGTTTTACAGTTTTAGGTAGTACAGTCTATTAGTGTTTTTATTTTATGGTTTATGCTTTGTATGTTCTTGAAAAATGTTTGCCCATTGCAAGGTTGCAAACATTTTCTTCCACTTTTTTTTCCTTTGTAACTGTATTATTTTATATTTACATTTAACTCTATAACCCTTCTCATATGGGTTTTTTTGGATGTGGTGTGAGGTAGGGGTCAAGGTTCTTTCTCTCTCCCTTTTTGTTTTGGATATCCAGTTATTCCAACCCAGTCGTTGAAGAGATTTTTCTTTTGTCATTGAATTGCTTTATATATGGTTGTATTTCTGTACTCTATTTTGTTTCTAGTCCTGTTTTGTTTTCTGTTAGTAATGATTTTGAAATAGGAATAGATTGGGATTCTTAGATATATAGAAGTTAATGAATTAGTATAGTCTCACAATAAGCATTTTTTTTTAACCACTTGAAGACTTTTTCTTGTGTTCAATGAACACAAGATCACTTATTTGATCCTTATGTGAGTACTTGAGGGGAAGTGGTTACAAGGAGCCAGAGTGCTAGCGTGTTTTGGCTTTTACTTTCTGTTTTAAGCAACATCTTCCAAGAATAAGCTGAAATCAGGCAAGAATTAGCTGGTTTGAGAGCAAAAACAGAGGGAATAGAGAGAGTCTAGAAATGCAGGGGCTGACAGGGTTGGAAAACCCAGCTATTCCTGAACTGAAATAAGCTGCTGCCTTTCTATACAAACCTATTATTTCAAATGGTTGCAGTGTAGCTGCCATGAGTTGAGAGAGGTAAAAGCTAGGTCACATTTGACCTTTTGCAATTAGTTAAATTTTTTTGCTGAATTCTTACCCACTTATATTCCACCCAGTGTCTCTTTCTCTGGTGCTTTGGCTCAGGTGAACCAGAGGTCATGTCCTGGCTCTCCTTGGAGGGCCCATCTTTCCTTAGAATTCAGGTTACTTGTCCTATGATTGCAACTCTCTAATAGTTCAAGAAAAGCTCTGATTTGTAGTCTATCCGGCTTTATTGTTGTGAACGTTGGACAGATATATTTTTAGCTTTTTACATCCCATGTGGAAATAGAACTCCCAAGAGAGTGATTTAGAAAGATATTATTCATCTTGTAAGATAACTTCCTGTAGTATTCCTTTGAATCGCAATATCCATTACCATTCCCTTCAATCTGTTTCTTTATGGGATCTTACTCACCTGCCTCCAAACTGCTAGACTACATCTCCTGGAATGTGCAATTTGGCATGTATTTCTATTCTAAGTAACATGCACAGATCCTGGAAAAACTAAAAGACCCTGTTTGTTGATTAATTGATGAATGGAATGTATTTACCAATCTTCTCACCTGACAAATCCTTATCTGTCTTTCAAGACCAAAAGCAAATGTCACTTCTTCTGAGAAAGCTCTATGAGTTCCTTTAGGAAGAGTTAGTTATTTTTTCTCTATGCCTTCATAATACTTTGTACATTCCTCCACTAGATGATTTTTATATCTTTTAGTTTAGATTGTGAATAAGATTGGAGCATGACCAATTCTTCTTATTTTGTATCTTTAGGTGCCTAGAACAACGTGTGGTACTTATAATTATGACTCAGTTTGTCAAATGGATGCATAAAAATTGATTTTCTAAATGAGCTGCTGAATATCTTTGTTGAATGATTATACACATTGGGTTTTGCATTTATGTAACTTTTATGTACATGAAGAAATGTACTTGTAAATGTATGTGTATATGTGTGTGAGTGTGTTTCATCTCCTAATGATGCAGGTAATTGCAGAATTTGCTTAGGACAAAGATATGGCACCTCTGCCATCATTTTCTCCTTGTATGCCATACCGTGAGATAAACCACCTCTGTTCTTTTTCCTGTTGATCCCAGGCATGAATTTAGAATCTGATCTTTCAATAATAATTCCACCAATAAACCAGATATTTCCCCTTCCTTAATCTAAGAGGCTCCTATCACAATAAGCGGGGGGGTCACCTTTGATTGATGCCCTTGCTGAATGGTACCTAGAGGGAAGATTCTAATAAGCTGCAGACACTTTGCAATTCCTGTCTTTCAGAACTTAATCGCATTTGCATTTTGGCTATGATCAGATGGTGGAAACACAAACTCCAAACTGTCAATCAACTTAGGCTTCTTTTCCAACTTTTCATAAATAAATTTCTTTAAAAATCTTTGAACATTCTTTTAAACACCGAAATTATGCAAGTAGTTTTTAAACAATTACTGTATTTTCTACCTATATATTACATTATAGTTGGTAACCTGTTCATTACTGAAAATCTAGCTTGGGAGGTATGCATCTAAATGTGTGTGTGTCTGTGTGTGTGTGTGTGTGTGCATATGTGTGTGAACTGAGGTATTCATGAGATTTGAGGGAGAAAAGAGGGAAAATATTTACTGAAAATATATTTTTTATATTGTCCAGTTTTTACCTTTAAATATCAGTAGAAAAAATGGAAGCATATAGATTTCTGGCATGTAATTTATCTTCAAAACAGAAATTAAACCTAACCAGTTATAAATTTGAGTTTCTTTCTGAATTAACCATGTTGGCACTACCCCAGCTACCTCCTTATGTTCACATGGTTGCTTCCAGACTCTATGTAGAATTTTATGCCTCTGTAGTATCAAATTTGTTAAATGGCATATTTTTATATCAGTAATTTTTATAGCATATTGTTATTCCAGACTTTTACATGCCTCTAATTTATTCTTAACTTCAATATAGCAGTATTGATTTTTTTCCTTCCAAGTTTGATGGTATGAACACTTCAGTTGTGATTTAAAGTCATTTCAACACCATCAATAATTTGCACTTCGTTTTCTATTCTTTTGCAAACTTAAATATTTGGGCAGGTACAACTGGAAGTAATAATACTCCTCACTACTTTTTGTATCACTTTTAAAAACATTTAGATTATTTCTTAATGTGGTTGAGATTATGTGTCTCTAATGACTTTGAATTATCCATGACACTTAAATGCAGAATAGTAAGAACAGTTTTGGTTGCAAATCAAATAGAACCTGATACAGCTTCCTTAAGTTATATTTTCTCTCTTTGTCCATTAGTAACAAAGAATAAATTGATCATAACTTTTCTCTTTTGTAGAACTACTATCAATGCCTTTTACAAAATGAGGTCATTGGATTGCAGAGTTGGCTTTCGAGAAGATTTTGTGGCCTTTCTCAGCTGTCTAGGTGCTGTAGGTGCTGTGTTTCTATGGCTGCAAGGATGAAGGTAACATGGATGAGGGAGGCTGATGAGGCATGTTTTGGTTGTTATATAAAGCAAGGCTCACAAATGCAGCAATAAGGACATTGATTTTTTTCCCTTGGCTACTTTGCAGTGGAGATAAATTGCCACCAGGTGAATGGTGGTACCTTGATTATTTGGCCCATAGTCTAAATAGCTTTAATGGGAGACCTGTTTAGAGCATCAATTTTCTGTTTTAAATATATCATTTCATTATTGGCACAGAATTATGACCACATTAATGGAGATAGAAATAAAGAAGAAAAACTAAAAATCATGTCTTTATTTTCCCTTGCTTCATGCCCATTTATAACTATAATTTTTGTGTTGTTGTAATCATATTTTTTGATACATAATTTTCTTTTCTAATTTTTAAATAATATATCAAAAGCATGTTTCCATGCCACTACCGTGTATTATTTATAATGATCATTTTAACAGAATATCATGTATTTTTATGTGTCAGCAGATGTTCTTTTTAAAAAACTGTGTATTAAATGTTGAATATATGTACAAAAATTTATAAAAGTTATACGAAATCATCATAAATTAACACCCATATGCCTATCATTCAATTTAAGATAAAGAACATTGCTATTATCTTTGGAGGCCTCTGTGTTCTTATTTCCCACCTCATCCTCTTCATTACCCCTACAGAGGCCATGTGATCACCCTCCTAAATCTTGTGTTTATTGTATCTTAGTTCTCTTTATAATTTTACCATATTTGGTTATATTCCTAAAGAGCATACAGTTTAGTGGATATTTTAATCAATATTTAAATGGACTAAAAAATGTGAACACATTTATCTGTAATTTGTTTTTTCACCCAGTATTAAATCCCTATGTTTTTTCTATGTCATTGTGTTATATTGTATTCATCTACATTGTTGTCAAGTATTTCATTATATGAATGCACCACAACTTATTGTCCATGATAAACATTTGGGCAAATTCCAGTTTTTCCTACTGTAAATGGTAATGTAAAGAATATTTTAATAACACAATTTCTATTACAAATGTCTAAGAGTTTCTTTATAATGCATGAGTAATTCTGTCGGGTCATTGGTGTGTATCTCTTCAAATATATGGGTAATGCCAAATTGTTTTCCAAAATGGTTGTACCAAATTATGCTTCTACTAGCAACGTGTAAGAATGCTGGTTGCATCATATCCTTGCCAATGCTCAGTTGATATTATCAGATACAATTTTTGCTAATCTGGTGAGTTTGAGAATCTTTCTTATTTGGTTTTAATATAAATTTTTCCAACTAGTAATGAGACAGAACATCTTTTCATATGGGGTCTCTTCTATGGCGTGCTTGTTCAAATCTTTTGCTCATAGTTCTCTTGGGTTTTCTTTTCTTATTGGTTTGTACGAGTTTTTTTTAATATATTCTGGATATCAATTTTCTGAGTTACATGGGTTCAAATATCTTCTCCCATTCTGTTTTCCACTACCTTTATAGTGCCTAATAGTAAATAGATAATTTTAATTTTGATACAGTCAAATTTATCAAACTTTTCTTTGAATAATTGTGCCCTTTGAGTCTTGTAAAGAAAAATTTCTCTCCTCAAGGTGTTAAGGATGTTCTTCTACACTGTCTTCTTTAATGTTATAGTACTCTCTTCCATAGTTATGCTTTTAATCCACATAGAATTGATTTTGTGTACAGTGTGATGTAAAAGTACATTTTCTTTCTGTATCTCTCTCTTTTTTTAAGACAGGGTCTCATTCTGTCACGATCTATAGCTTACTGCAGCCTTGAACTCCCGGGCTGAAGCCATCCTCTCACCTCAGCCTTCTAAGTGTGGGACTATAGGCATGTGGCACCATGCCCAGCTAATTTTTCTTTTTTTTTGAGAGATGGGATCTTGCTCTGTTGCCCAGGTTGGTCTCGAACTCCTGGGCTCAAGGAATCCTCCTGCCTCAGCCTCCCAAAGTGCTGGGATTATAGGCGTGAGACACCATGCCTAGCCTCTGTTTTTTTTTTCTTTTAAATAAGTATATTAGTTCATTTTGCACTGCTGTAACAAAATACCACAGATTGGGTATTTTATAATAAATAGAAAATTATTGGCTGACAGTTCTGGAGGATGGGAAGTCAAAGATCTGGCAAAGACTTTCCTGCTGTGTCATCCCATGGTCAAAAGGCAAAGAGAGGGTGAGGGCGAAAGAGAGAGAGAGAGAGAGAGAGAGACAGGCAAAAGGGGGCCAAACTTGCCCTTTTATAAGGAACCCACTCCCATAATAATGCCATTAATCCATTCATGAGGGCAGAGCACTCATGGCCCAATCACCTCTTAAAGGTTCCATCTCTTAATACTGTTACAATGGCAATTAAATTGTAACATGAGTCTGGGAGGGGACAAATATTCAAACTCTAACAATAAGGATAACCAATTATCCAAGAACCATTTGTTAAATATTTATTCTTTCCCCACTGATTTGCAATGCTAGCTGTGTCATAAACCAAGTTTCCATATATGTGTGGGTTGATTTCTGGGTTCTTAACTTTAAAAAAATCTGCTGAGTTGGCCAGGCACAGTGGCTCATGCCTGTAATTCCAGCACTTTGGGAGGCTGAGGTGGGCGGATTACCTGAGGTCAGGGGTTCAAGACCAGCCTGGCCAACATGGTGAAACCCCGTCTCTACTAAAAAATACAAAAAATTAGCCAGGTGCAGTGGCACAAGCCTGTAATCCCAGCTGCTTGGGAGGCTGAGGCAGGAGAATCGCTTGAACCCGGGAGGCAGAGGTTTGCAGGTGAGCTGAGATCGTTCGACTGCACTCCAGCCTGGGTGACAGAGTGAGACTTCATCTTGAAAAACAAACAACAACAACAACTGCTGAGTCCATCGGGCATGGTGGCTCATGCCTGTAATCCCAGCCCTTCAGGAGGCTGAGACAGGCAGATCACTTGAGGCCAGGAGTTCGAAACTGGCTGGCCAACATAGTGAAACCCCGTCTCTACTAAATATACAAAAATTAGCGGGGCATGGTAGCACACTCCTGTAGTCCCAGCTACTTGGGAGGCTGAAGCAGGAGAACCTGGGAGGTGGAGGTTGCAGTGAGCTGAGATCATGCCACTGCACTCCAGCCTGGGCTACAGAGTGGGACTCTGTCTCAAAAACAAACATAAACTTATCAAGTAATGTAAATTGTGGGTATAAACCCACATAAAGGCTGGCTGTCACTACCAGTTCTTTGAAGGTGGAGTCAGTTTCTTTCTGGTTAATTCTTATTGCAGGGGCATAGCCCTTTGAGATTTCAACTTTGTGGGAGGAGTTGCCCATTGATTTCTCACATTGAGGCAATCCCCAGAAAATTTTGAAAACTTAAACTCAAATTGAGCTGATTTGGCAAGTATTCTAATGGAGACAGCCAGCTGCAGTGGTGTCTTTTCTAAAGTTTGGCTTCGGTATCTTTTATATTCTTGCCATATCATTAATTTAAAATATATAACCATTTTTACCTTTCAGTTTTAGTATTTTAGTTTTAGTTGTTTTTTATCTTGACAGAGATGGTCAATTTTGGCACTTAGCCCGTCATACTAATGGAGTTAAAGGTTTTAGTGAACTATTTTTCAACCTGATTTTAAATGACTGCATAATATAATAAAATACCACATGAATAAACTGACATTTATTTTTACAATTAATATTTTAACATTTTAAGGGAGTCCACTCATCAAGTTGATGTAACACAAGTTACTTGACCATGTTTTCATTGTGCATTTATGTTGTTTTCAGTGTTTCTCTATTATGAAAATACTATCATGAAATTTTAAAAAGGCTTTATATATCTAAGGGACTTGTATACCATGATGAGACATTTCCGTTTTATCTTGTAAGCTATAGTGACACATCTGATTGTTTTGAGCTGGGAAGTGACGTGGTCAGATTTACATTTTAGAAAATGTAAGCCATGAATTGCAGGTGGTTAAGGTTAAAGACAAAGAGACTCATAACAAAACCTTTTTAATAGTCAAGGTAAGATTTGATGGGGGTATGAACAAGGCCAGAGGCAGAGGAGATTAAGAAGAGGGCCTATACAAAACCAAAACCAAACAAAAAGGCCCCCGAACACCACCCCTCCCAACTAGAATACATCTAACCAAGAAGGTTAAAAATGGGCAAAAGACATAAACAGACAGTTTTCAAAAGAAGACATGCAAGTAGCCAAGAAACATGAAAAAATGCTCAACATCACTAATCATCAGAGAAATGCAAATCAAAACCACAGTGCAATACCGTCTCACACCAGTTAGAGTGGCTATTATTAAAAAGTCAAAAAATAAGAACAGATGCTGGTGAGGTTGCAGAGAAAAGGGAACGCTTATATATTGTTGGAGAGAAAGTAAATTAGTTCAACTACTGTGGAAATCAGTTTGGAGATGTCTCAAAACTGATTTTGAGAAATCTGATTTCTCAAAACTGATAACACAAAACTACCATTTGACTAAGAAATCCCATTACTGGGTATATATCCAAAACAAAATAAATCGTTCTACCAAAAAGGCACACGCATTCATATGTTCGTCATAGCACTATTCACAATAGCAAAGACATGGAATCAACCTAAGTGCCCATCAATCATGGATTAGATAAAGAAAATATAGTACATATACACCATGGAATACTATGCAGGCATAAAAAGAATGAAATAATGTTCATTGTAGCAACATGGATGCAGGTAGAGGCCATTATCCTAAACAAATTAACACAGAAACAGAAAACCAAATACTGCAAAATCTCACTTATAAGTTAGAGCTAAACAATGGGTACCCATGGACATAAAGTTGGCAAAAGTAGACATGATAGACACTGGGGACTACTAGAGCGGGGAGTATGGGAGGTAGGGGCGAGTATTGAATAACTATTGGGCACTATGCTCAGTACCTGGGTGACAGGATCAAGCATATCCCAAACCTTAGCATCATGCAATCTACCCAGGGTAACGAACTGCACATATGCACCCTGAATCTAAAATAAAAGTTGAAATTATTTAAATAATAATAATTTCACATAAAAAAGAAGGCCTAGATTGGAAGACACTTGGGTTTTAGAATTTATAGGATTTACAGAGTAATTGGATGAAAGGAGGTGGGAAGAAATAATAGGAGGACTCCAGTGTTCCTGGTTTTAGCAATTTAGTGGATGGTAATGTCCTTCAACAAAATGAAAAATGTAGAGAAGGAGCAGATTATGAGTACAAGTTTACATATATTGAGTTCTCAGTATCTTTTGAGCTATTCACTGGATATATACCTTTGGATATTTGTATGTGAGGTGGTCTGGGCTGGAGATAACATTTGGGAGTCATGAGGGAACATGTTGTAGCTTGGATAAGTCTGCCTGGGGAAACTGTGAAACAAAAAAAAGGCTCAGGCAAAGCCATGGAAAATACCAGTGTTTAAGAGATCAGAGGCAGAGCTAATACAAATAAAAATATGAAACCCATTGTTCAAAATGCAGGGGAAGAAAGCACTGTTAAAGGTGTATTGCAAAGTATTTTCCTTTCTTCCATGAACTCTCTCTTGCCATCATGGTGGTTTTGCTTCCTACTTAATATCATTCCAAATAAGGAAAAACTAAAACTTTAAATTATTAGCTGAATTTTATCATTCATCTCTATATTGTGCAATGCCAATTTTTAACAACTTTATTGACATAAATTTACATACAATAAATTCATCCATTTAAAATGCTTCATTCAGTGGTTTTTAGTATGTTCACAGAGTTGTGCAACCATCACCACAATTTAATTTTAGAACATTTTCATCATCTCAGAACAAAACACCACTGCACCCATTGGCAATCTCAATTATCCTCTTCCCCAGTCCTAGGCAACCATTAATCTACTTTCTGTCTCTGTAGTTTTGTCTATTCTGGACATGTAATGTAAATTGAATCATACAATATGTGGTCTTTGTGACTGGCTTCCTTTAGCAATGCCAAGTTTTAATGCAAATATCAGAATATTTATATTTCATGGCTCATCTCTGGAGGGTGCCTTGAGCTATACAGAAGAGACAAATTCAAGCCAGACTCAGGAAGTTTGGAGGAAAACAGAAAGATCTCCTCCTATTCCCCCAACAATGGGGCTGACCAAAAGAATGCTTGTGGGACAAGCGCAGACCCTCACAAGTGCCTGGGAGCCCTGCATGTTTGCTTCGGCTGAAGGCTGCTACTTCTTCCCTTCTGCCATGCCCATGCCCTGGCCAACAGTGAAGTTTGAGGAAGTCAAGCTGGGCATCTCCTCTGTCCATGATCTGCTGCCCTAACTTATGGCATATGGATGATCCCTAAGGATCTTTAAACCTCTGTGTCACAACATGCTCAGTACCTGCATGGGGGTGGCTAAGAGGTTTATGTGCCAACATGCAACCCCACCACATTACCAGCCACATGCGCTAGAATGCTGCCAGTGTTACGCAGGAATGAAATGTGCACTCAACTCCTTGGACACTACGCAGGCCCTTCCCAGGGGCAGAGGGTGGCAGCACTCATGAGGTGGAGGGTGAGAGGGGAAGACCAGGCAGGACCAGGGAGGCAAAGGGGGAATACACGTAGGTACTGATAACTCACCTCTGGGAAATGGTAAGAGACAGGATGAACATGAGCTGAGGCTCCAAGCCCAGCACATGTTTTCATTGTCCCATTGGACTTCACTTATAAAACAGAAATTCAAAGATAAAATTAAGAATTTCAAGATAATGACTGCAAAACATTAAATCCCAAGCAAGTGCCCTTCTGAGCACTGGGTCTTGTGCCACTGCACTGGTTTCACTTCTATGAAGCTGGTCCTGGTCAGAGAAATGGAAAACTCAGCAGCAGCAGAAAGAAAAGTATGCTGGGAGCTATGAGAAAG
The DNA here is from genome assembly GCF_000001405.40 of Homo sapiens. NCBI lineage: Eukaryota > Metazoa > Chordata > Mammalia > Primates > Hominidae > Homo > Homo sapiens. The sequence continues at coordinate 99,711,272 of NC_000009.12, read as the reverse complement.
TGATGTCAAAGAAGCCAGCAGAGGAAACTGAAAAAGATGAGTGGTCAACATCGCTATTGCAAGAGAAACGTGTAGATAAGAAAAGGACGGAAAATTCTCATATGATAGCACTGGTGACTGCTGAGAGCAATTTCAGTGGAATAGAAGGTGTGGAAGCCAGATTATGGGGGTTGCAGAAAGAATGAGAAGTATAGAAGAGGAGACAATGAGCGTTGACTTGTTCAAGGAACTTGGGTGTAAAGGGAAGGGATGAGAGTAGAACTCTGAGCAGCAAGGGTCTGGTGCAGAATTTGATAAATGACAGCACATATGCTGGTCCATGACCTATTTTTTTGTGACTAAAGTTTTATTGGAACACAGTGAATATCTACTCATTTATGTATTGTGTCTATCGGTTTTCACACGACAATGGTAGAGTTGAGTAGTTGCAACTGAGAACATATGGCCTGCAAAGTCTGAACTATTTCCTGTCTGGCCCTCGACAGAAGGTTTTTGACCTCTAATATAGAGTGATGGTTCTTAGAGTGTGGCTCCTGGACCAGCAGCATCAGCATCACCTGGGAACTTAGAAACACAAATTCTTGAGCCACATCCAAGACCTAGTGAATCAGCAACTTTGGAATGGTAACTCCTAATCTATGTTTTATTAAGCTCTCCAGGCAATTCTGATACACCTTAAAGTTTGAGAACCACTGGGATAGAGTGCAGATGGAAAGAGGAACTTTTGATGGAGGGGAGACACTCTTCCTCTGAGCCAGAGGGAAGGAAGAAAGGATGTGTGGGGAAACATTAAAAGGACACTCACAGGATTCCATTCACTCCTTATACTGTCACACTCAGATTAGCAACATTACCTGGTCCAATATTAGATGTAAGCAACCAGGACAGATTTCCAAGTGATGTGTGCCACACCACCTGGGTCTAAAGTTAAACAGGGAGGAAGATTTCAAGTTAGTATATGGTATGGAAGGAAGTTCTATTCAACAATTGTAAGGTGGTGTACTCCCAGGAGAACTGCATGTTCATCCATTCGTGCATTACGTAGGCACTTTCGGTGTTAGGTCTTCTCTAATCTAAAATTCTATGATTCCTGCCTAGAATGAACACTTCTTTCTAATCTGATTATTCTATCTAGAGTCGAAGTTTCTTCTTGGGATACATTCTGGTCTGTGGAGCTCTTTCCTTATTTCTAGGGGTCGGATCTCAGCTGCTTTGGGTTTAATTAAACCAGCTAGTCAGAGAATCCACTGACCTGCCAAGACACCCATCAAAGGGCAGGGACAAATCTGTCTCTTCTCTCTGTTCTATTCTAAGAATTCTTGTCAGTATTTAGTGAATGATTCTTGTGTTCTGAAAAGCTGTGAAAGTGTGAAAGCCAGGGTTCTAGGTCAGCAGTATATTTTCTACGCTCTTCAATGATTGTTGCTTACATTTTGTGAATTCGTAATTCAAGTTCAATTGTATCCTTAGCAAACCAGTTCACATCCTCCCAATCTCATACATTTGCTTTATGCTATACAGTTAGAATTGCTTTTCTTTATGAAAAAACAAACATATATTTTCAGGTATGAGGTACCTGATTTCCGGACTTGTTTTCCCTTTGCTGTGTTCCTTATGAAAAATTACCAGAGAAAGAGACAGGGGGCATTCAGAGATGAAATGAAGCTGATATACCTGGTCTATCACATTGGGACCTATGGGCTCTGAGGGGCTCATGTGAGCTCACACCTAGGGTTGGGGAAGGACTGGTGGTAAAAGAGGTAGTGGTCTAGGTCTAATTTAAAAATCATTAAAAACATTTTGTTAGGAAACCAAATAATAAGAGAAATGTGCATTCTTTGAAATAAAATTTTTGATGGTCTCTGTGTGTATTTTATAATAGTTATAATTTCTCTTTGATTGTCTTTTTATGACTGTGCTTTTTTTTTACCTATTAGTTTCTCAAACAACAAAGATATAAACTGTTTCTCTTTCATATTTGCTGTACATACTTTTTCTAGTTGGTTGTTTGCTTTTTAATTTTGGCTATGATTTTATTTGTGGCATCTAAAAATATGAAGTAGTCAAATGTGTTTGTGTTTTTTAAATGAGAATATGGAGAAATGTCATGTTTACCTGCAGGCCAAAGAAATTTCATGTATGGGAGAATTTTTAATGCTTCAGGAGTGCTGCAATGAGTGTACATCATTTTGGCATGGACGGATTTGCTATTTCTGGCTGGGGAGACTGGAGTAGAGAGATGAGAGAGGATCACTATTAGCTGCTATTACTTGGATGATAGTGCCTTAGGTGCCTAGCTATTGGAGGGCTTTGTCAAATTCTTCTTAAATAAGCTAGCATGGCTGTCTGTCCAAGCTTTGTTCCTGTGTGCATACTAGCAAGAAGGTGGAATGACTGCTACTCACATCTGTCCATCAGACCTGCTGGGGCCTTGGCACAGTCTGTGCCCATATATGAGGAAGAATCTAGGCAGGTGAGATGTCCTTTCCTACTTGAATGACCAATGATGGGCAACTAGACTGATGTTCTGTCTATGAAACAGCAGCCTTAAGCTTCTTGACCACTCACCCATAGTTGCTGGATGATTTCTTCTTTCAATTTATTCATTAACTTTTCTGTAGAGATGGGGCTCTCTCTTTGTCACCCAGCCTGGAGTGCAGGGGTGCGATCATGGCCCACTGCAGCCTCGAACTCCTGAGCTCAAGCAATCCTCCTGTCTCAGCCTCCTGAGAAGCTGGGACTACAGGCATGAGCCACCATGCCCAGCTGATGTTAGGTAATTTCTGAAATGTTTCCTAAAGTGCGAACAGACCTGGTCTAGTTTTGTGCCCCTACTTCTTTTATGGTCAACAATCTACTCTTGAGACTTTCATTGGCTTTGAAACTCTGAGACTGTGAAACTTGTCTGCTGAACATGGCTATGATAGGCTATAGGGTATTGGACAGATTTAAAGATTAGACTCTGTTCTTACAAATGTAGCTTTGAACATGGCTGAAATACCACTGGGCTAAGTGAACTCATCAAGGTACAGCTACTACCTGGGGAGTCGTATTGAATTCCAGCCTGAAGGAGTATACTTCTACTTAAAACCAGGGCCCAAGGCCTCTGAAAAAACACTGACAAAAATTTGTGGCTAAGGTTCATTTGTCCTGCAATATCTCCGGGAGTTCTGTGGTACTATTTGTAATAAGAAGTATGATGAGTACAATTCTGCTGTGGCTAACATCCCTTGAATGTGGTAAACATTCAAGACTAGAATTCACTTCGATTCATCCTTCATTTTCTGGACTTAGCTGGGAAGATCTGGGGTATAAATAAGCCCAGACCCTAGTCCCCTGCTGTGAGTTGGAGTAGGGTGGATACAATTCCATGTCTATCCAGATATCTACAGAGAGATGGATGAGAGACTGTCTTCAGATGATATCCAGACTATCTTGAAATCTGACTCAGGCTGTTTGGTTTGTAGAAATTCCAGTTTTCATGTTTTAACACCTAATAAATGGCAGTTCGTACTCTGTTTCCTACATGGGCTCCTACATCAAGAGCAGCTCTTTAAGTGTCTATGGTTTATAATCACGTCTGACCAGAGGCTTCTTTTTCTCAGACTACACAAGCCTTTCCTTCAACTCTTCTTTATATGAAAAATTCCAAGGGGACATAATAATTTCCACCTCACTAGCCATGAATATCCCAATAGAAAAAATGGGTAAAGAATAAAACAATCACACACACACAAAAAGTAAAAGTGTTTGGTAAGCATGTACGAAGGGTTTTAACTCATTGGTAAACAACTCACAATCCATGAGTCCTCTATGAGAACCATGGTGCATGTATGGCCCCCTTGAGTTTTTTGTTAGTTTGTTGTCTCCCTCAGATCAGGATCTTGGTACCTCGTATATGCTTCCTGGTAATGTCAAGTCTTCTATTGCATCAATTCAGAGATTAATTTGTGATGCATGATTACTAATGATTAATTTAGGAGGTGATTTTAAGATAGATGTGGATTTACACAAGTTTTTTGTGAGAGGAGTTTAAGAGGAACGTTGATTGTACATTTGAGTCTGTACAAGGGAAGGAAGAACTTGGGGTTTGGATCGGAGGCCTTGGATGTGACTCCAGCTGCGCCATTCCCTAGCTGTGAGTCCCTGGGGAGGTTACTGAAACCCTTTTGAAATTTGTATATAAATGGTCATGAATGTGTACTTTACAAAATTGTAAAGATAATGTGTGAAAAAAGCCAGCAAAGTGCTAAGCCGAATTTTACATATTTATTTATCCTTATTTGCTTGTTTACATCTCATTAAAAAAAGAGATTCGAGAAGGCCATACATCACATGTTTGTTGTTGTGGTCAACATGATTTCTACTATTATGCCAACTCTGGGGGAAGGTCGGTTGTCATGGTGGACTGCAGAAAGAAGGCATAAGTATTTACATATAACCTGTTTCAGAGAATTGGGGCAAGGAAGACCCTCCTTGAGGAGGAAAGTTAAGTTTCTGCCAGCCTCCCAAGATGAAGAGTGAGGCTGTCAGTTATGATGGTGCAGGACAATCATCTGGATCAGGCTTATGGTTCACTAAAGCCAAACACTTCTTAGTCTGGGGTAAAATGTGTCTTTTAGTGAAGTGAGTCTCTGGGGGATACATGAAGCAGGTTGACCCACCATTAGCCTCTAGCCTTCTCAAAGTCAGGGATTTTGTCTTTCCTGTGTGTGCTGGACCACCAGTGCCTGACCCCAGTCAATAAATATTGGTTGTATGAGTAACTCCATACATCAACTAACCACTTGCGCTATGATGGCTGAAGGTGCTGTGTGTGTTGGGCTGAGCAATTATGGGACATTTCAATCCAGTGTTTAATTTCCTTCAGTTCTAGAAAATTCCCCTGCTTTATTTCTTTGATAATATCCTCTTTTCTGTTTTCCCTGTTCTTTCATTTTGGAATTCCTATTATTAACTAAATGTTAGATCTTCTATACTGATGCTCTCACTTTTTCTTTTCATTCTATTTTCTGAATGACTTTCTCAACTTTATATTCTAGGTTTTATATTTGCTTTTTCTATTGTCATATTTTTAAATACTAATGTTTTTCATATTCTCTGAATATCTGAATATCACTTGCCCCCATAGCATCCTACTAATTGTTTAATTAATCTAATAGGTTTAACAACTTTTCTCAGAAAATATTAGTTACAGCTTTTTTGCAATGGGAAGATGTTTTAAAATTCCTTATATTGTTTCTAGTTATTTGGGCTGCTGCTTCTTTTTTTCATGTTTATATAGGTCTCTATGAAAAAAATTGGAGGTTTTGCTGAAATGCCTGGTGATCCCTGGCTATCTGATCATATTTAAAAATGAGGCACTAAAAAAGCTAATTGAAAGCTATGTATTTACAGGCAGGGCTTGACAACTGGTAGGGTAAACTTCACTGTCCACCCCAGAAAGAGCTCAGCTTTTTAGCTGGGGATTTGTAAATACCAGTATCTTTTTGTAAAGCCTATTTTCCTAGGGTGGAATCCTTTAATCTCTTGCCCTGGTTAGGGGGATGGCAAGGGGTTGGTGCAGGTAGTAGATTTAAGTCTGCCTCTCAGAATTTTGAAAGCTGATTTGAAGAAAGGGGGTTGGAGGTTTCCCATTGTTTAGAATGATAACTTTGATTTAATAAGATACTTCATCTTTACTCTCAGGAATCAGGATTTCTAGATGACCTCAAAATTAATATAAGCCAACAATGGGATGCAGCAAATAAAATAAAATGGGATCATATCCCTGCATGCACATTTAAACTAAAAGTAAATTGATGTAAATACTCTTCTTACTTTAAAAGATAACCATCATGAGCTATAGCAATTGGCTTATAGTATCCTACTCATGGTATTTATAACACTATTGTACTTTATACTGGTCCTGCTATCTTTAGGGCAGACCCTAAAGGTGTTTATCTTTCCACTTTAGAAAGTCATTGTCAAACTGAACTAGGGTGGTGGAGACAGTGAAGCATCTAAAGCAGAGGTTGGCACACTGTGGCCTGTGGGTCAAATGCAAGCAGTTGCCTGTTTTGATAAATAAAGTTTTATTAGAACACAGCCACAGCCATCATTTACATATTCTCTATAGCTGCTTTCATGCTAGAAATGCAGGATTGAGTAGTTGTGGCAGAAACCATATGGCTTGCAAAAGCTAAAGTATTTACCGTCTGGCCCTGTAAAGAAAAAGTTTGCCAACCCCTGATCTAGAGGCCACATTCTATGTTGCATGCTTAAGCAAAGTGGAGATTTAGTTTGGGCATGAAAAGATGAAATAGCTGTATAATAGTTAATAAGAATAATGTCTAGTATTTATTGAGTATTTACATGTGCCTGGCAATTATATGCATGTATTATCATATTTAATAGCAATTAAGGATCATCTTCCTGACTAGATTATGTGTTCTGCAATGTCAGGTTTATAGTTCCAAAATACAGAATGCAACCTAGCAAATACAGGCTTTGCGTGAATATTTGTTGAATTAAATGAGCAGTGCTATCATGTGGAAGAGAAGAAGGTGCCTTCTTGGAGGTCAAAATAAAAATTTCAGGGAAGCAGATTTCAGGTCATCAAGAAAAGCTGCTGCCGAGTCATATCAGCTCCCTCTGAGGCAGTGAGAGATCCATCCCTGAGAGGGGTTTACAAGAGCCTAGTTGCCCACACAGTTGCTCATTGCTACTATCATTTTGTGGATTCTTGCTTTGGGTAGCAGATGGAACAAAATGAAGTCCTGGCTTCTAGGATTCTATCACTGAAACTAGGACGGAGAAGACTAGAACTCAAAAACTGGAGTTGAAATAGTTCTGTTTTGGCTGTGTCATGCTGCCTCCCTTAGAATTTCCATAAAAGGAGCAAGAAGAACATCATAATGAGCATCAGGAGATTTTGAGTTATAATTCCACTTCTGCAACTAATTAACCATGTGAGCCCAGCAAGTCTTTTAATCTCTCAGGGCCCAAGTGTCCTTAAGCAAGGGGGCTAGACTAGATAATCTCTAAATTCTCTTTTAGTTCTAAAATAATTTTATCCAAGGATTAGCTGGGCCCCTCCTATTGAAAGGGCAGGGCTGACTAGTTCAGACAAGATGCTTCCCTGTTATGTGCTGCCAGAGTACTGAGGTTTTGCTATTAAAAACATTTTGCCCACCTCTTGATCCTATCCCAGTCTTAGTCCCTCAGTTCCCATCCCCTTTTAGTATCCCTATCCTGCTTTATGATACATCTTATTTGGGAAAATAGGTTAAATCAGGCTGTAGTTTTAGCCATGTTGAAGGCAAGCTCTTTCTTGTTAAGTTTTTCCTCATTTGGCTGGAGGAGAACTTGGAGTTGTTAAACTCTCTTGGAAGGCTGAGGATATTAGCATTGACCTCAGAAAGGGGATTGGACCTCCTTTATTTAGGGCTCTAAACATGGAGAGCTCATATTTCTCATGGGGGAACATTTTATTCTTGGTAGAAGCAGTTTCAGCTTCCAGAATGAGCTATCTACCCATTTCTGTACGTTCTCAAACTAAAGAACTTAGACCTAAATCCTTTTCAAAAATAACGGCCAAATTCAACCTTAAATGGACCCTCCTCTAGCAGTAGTTTTCCTGTTCTCCATCCAAATAGACATCAACTGTGATCTCCAGTTACCTCTAGGCTTTTATTTGAACTATTCCAAAATTTGAAGATTTCATTTGACTTAAGTGCTTAGTATTCAACAATTTTATAGTTGTCCATATTCCACACTATATTTGACCATGTCTCTCATATTAATTGTGAGTAGCCCTAAAAACTGCAGTGTCATGTTAAGAACTTCTTTTAGTCCAAGGCATGTCAATATGTGTTGCCAACTTCCAACTGATTCTCATCCAGAAGATTAGCAAGGCCGCCACATGGTGTTCTTTTTTACAAAACGTTATTGCCTGCATTATAGCTAGGACTCGATCTGGTGACATTAATCCCAAATCTGCAGAATGGTACTCTTAATTCTGCTTGGGTGGAGAGCAACTTGAGCTGTCTGCATAAGCCTTTTATTTTAGGAATACCATCCTTTGTCATCATTTCTATTAGGGATCTTAGTCAGTTGTTAGGCATTTTATTTCTCTCTTAAAAAATATTTTCTATCTTTTCACAGTTAGGTGGCCAGATTATACTTCTTTAGCAAATAATCTCTAGCATTGATTTAGTTGTTGAATATCCTCCCCAGGCATGTTTTAATTATTCATTAAGAAGCTATAGGAGTTCCAGCTAAAAATGGAGCCTGGCTAGCAGCCCCTGGTGTAGTGTTTCTCAGTTTTCTTAATAAAATGCCTATGAAGGTAAAGAAAAAAGATAGTAATTGAAATACAATAATAAAAGCAATGGCCAGCATAATTTCAACACTGGGGAAGAATCTATACTAATTATAAAAGGAAAAATTGAGACAAAACTACCCAGGTCTCTTTCTATGGCATAACAGACAACTTTACATGACATAGAAACCCTTTTAAATGAGGAGGGAGGGTATGTGGAGTCCTCTCTGTTATCTATCCATTATCAGACTCAGAGACTCAGGATTGGCTCCAATAAAAAATTGGGCAGGTGGGCTTTTACCCATGTGGATTGATTTGTTAATCTGAGAATGTTGTGATATCATTCTACATCCAGAGAAATTAAAATGCCTAGGAAACAACTTGGGTGCTAGGTCAGTTTTGGCCACCAGTGGGAAGGCTGGTGGAGGCATATTGCATTTCAGAGGAAAATTTCTTGCAGGTAAAGCTCTTATAGTTTGGGTTGACAACCAAAACACTACTACTACTACACCACTACCACCACTACCACCACTACCACCACCACACAAAACAATAAACCCTGGTAACAGCATGCTTGGAATTGTAGATTCTTATGTACACTGCAAATCAGACTGTTTGTGGAGCCTGATGGAACCTCAGTGGTAGAGAGGTGCATTAGATGAAGTCATGTAGACCGGGGTCCTCAACCCCTGGGCCATGGAGCGGTATCCATCTGTGACCTGTTATGAATTGGGCCACACAGCAGGAGGTGAGCAGCTGGCAAGTGAGCATTACCACCTGAGCTCTGCCTCCTGCCAGATAAGTGGTAGCATTAGATTCTTTTAGGAGCACAAACCCTATTGTGAACTGCGCATGCAAGGGATCTAGGTTGCGTGCTTCTTATGAGAATCTAATGCCTGATGATCTGAGGTGGAACAGTTTCATCTTGAAACCATCCTGCCACCCCACCCCGCCCCATCCATGGAAAAACTGTCTTCCATAAAACTGGTCCCTGATGCCAAAAAGTTTGGGGACCACTGATGCAGACTGCTGGGGCTTGGACCAGATGCTGTGCACATCAGATAAATAAAGTAGAGCAAAACGTACTTCAACTCTCCTGCCCTGATAAACACCGAATCAGAATAAATTTCACATTGTTCAAGTTAAATAAGAAGGGGGGAAAACCACATGAAGTCTTTGAAAAATACTTTACTACAGGGGAACAGAGTATTTAGAAGACACAGAGGGAGAGCACTTTTTCACCGAAAGGATTTAGTGGAGGATCCATAAACTGGAGGACTTTAGGGAACCATCTGGCTTTCTCCATAGAATACAAAAAATATGAATATCAAAGAGCCAAGAGTAAATATGTGGATAATTGGCATTCCCGAAAAAATACTTAAATGGAATAAAAGCAATAATTAGATATAACAGGAAAAAATTCATGAGCAGAAGTAAGATCCAGATTGAAAAAAATCATTGTGTTCCAGACAAATCAATGAACAAAGCCACATACAATGATGTATCCTGGCAACAATTTTAATTCATAATGATAAGAAAAACTTTCATAAGCATCTAAGCAGAAGAAACAGACTACCTAAAAATATAACAGAAGTCTGACTATTCTCTGGCTTTTACTGTGAAAGCTTAAATTTAGAAGAAAATGGAGTATTGTATAGAGTTTTGAGAACCAAAGTTATAACTTACTGCTTTTATACCCAGCCTAGTCATCTATAACTTGTGAAATAACAAAAAAAAATTTAAATACACAAAGACTCAAGAGATGTATGCCCTCCTTGAAAACAATTGCTTGAAGAAATGGAGAACTTATGCTAGAAAAGGATTGGCCTTAGTCTGAAACCAATTAAAATAGGGATAGGTCCAAATATGTGTTAGTCAAGTGTTTTTCAGTCACAAAATCCTTTATCTAGAGAAAATCTTCTTTGAAAATAAAAATATAAATAGCTACAATTAAAAAAAGAACTAGTCCATCTAAAAACAAGGTACAAAACAAAGGGAACCCTAAGAAAGTTTGAAAACAGAAAACAGGAAAGAATAAAGATCTGCTATGCCAGTCTTAGCTGTCAATAATTGAGATAAATTACATATTTAAAGATCTGAATTCTCAGATTATTTTTTTAAACCCTGTGAAATTCAACTAAGTTCTATTTGTGGGAAATATACTCAAAGCAATGTGATACAAGGAACTTAAAAATAATTATTTTATTTTAATAAGGGTACAGTTCCAAATGAAAATACATTTAAGCAGAAAAATAATATTCCTTTGAGATATGTAGTAGATAATTTATTTGAAATATAAAGAAAAATTAATCATTGACAGATTATATTAAAAAATATAAAAACCAATATTTTCTAATTTCATTTCTACTCTTTTATATCTTTCCATTTTTTATATCTATTATCTCTGTTTGGATATTTTAGGCTTCCTTATTTTAAACTGTGATAATTGGATCTTTATGGAAATTTATTAGCTTTGGATGAAAAATATTTACAGAGATCAACAGCAGAAATTATACAAATTACATTCTTGACCACTATCCACTAAAACTAGAAATTAATAATTACATGTAAACAAGATACTCTCCTAAATAATTCCTGTGGCAAACAAGAAATTATAAACATAACTTTAGACAGAAGACTGGTTAGAATAATTTTTCCAAAATTTCTAAACTCAGGCCTTTTCAGTTATAAAGATTTAGCTAAGTATTACTTGAAAAAATTTTTGTATTGAGGTAGGCTATACATGCAATACAATATTCAGATATTAAGTATAATTTGATAAACTTTGGTATACACTTTGACAGGTATATACTTTGACAATGTATATGCCTGTGGTATATATTTAACTTTATAAAGAATGGACGGAGTCTTCAAAAGTTGTTGTTAAATTGCACCCTGAGTGAATGAGAATTTTAACTGCACCACATCTTTGCAAACATTTGCTATTTACTTAAAAAAAATTTAATCCTAGTAAATGTGATATGGTATCCCATCATGGTTATAACTTACAATTTTCTTGATGACTAATGATGTTGAACACCCTTCCATGTGCTTATTGGCTATTCATATGCTTTTAAATTCCAATTTTTATTTACAGGCATAAGCCAGAGACATTGTGGGTTTGGTTCTAGATCCTACAATAAAGTGAGATGCATGCATTTTTTTGGTTTTCCAATGCATATAAAAGTTGCATTTATGCTATACTGGGGTCTATTAAATGTGAAAAAGCATTATATATAAAAATGTACATACCTTAATTAAAAATACTTTATTGTTAAAAATGCTAACAATCATCTGAGCCTTCACTGAGTCATAATCTTTTTATTGACGGAGGTTCTTGCCTTGATGTTAATCGTTGCTGACTGATCAGGGTGGTGGCTGCCGAAGCCTGGGTGGCTGTGGCAATTTCTTAAAATAAGACAATGAAGTTGGCTGCATTGATTGACTCTTCCTTTTACAAGATTTCTCTGTAGGATGTGGTGCTATTTGATAGTATTTTACCCACAGTAAAACTTCTTTCAAAACTGAAGTTAATCCTCTCAAAATCTGCTGCTGCTTTATCAACTAAGTTTATGTAACATTCTAAATCGTTTGTTGTCATTTCAACAGTGTTCACAGTATCTTTATTAGGAGTAGATTTAATCTCAAGAAATCACTTTGTATGTTCATCCATAAGAAGCAACTCCTTATTCATTAGTTTTATAATAAGATTGCTGCAATTCAGTCACATCTTTGGACCCACTTCTAATTCTAATTGTCTTGCTATTTCCACCACATCTGCAGTGACTTCCTCCACTGAAGTCTTGAAGCCCTCCAGGTCATCCATAAAGGTTGGAACCAACTTCTTCCACACTCTTATGCATGTCTGACCTTCTCTCATGAATGACAAATATTCTTAATGATATTTTGACCTTCTCTCATGAATGACAAATATTCTTAATGACACCTAAATTGGTGATCCTTTCCAGAAAGTTTTCAATTTATGTTGCCCTGCTTCACTAGAGGAATAACTATCTATGGCCACTATAGCCTTATGGAATGTATTTCTTAATTAATAAGACTTATAAGTCAAAATTACTGCTTGATCTATGGGCTGCAGAATGGATGTTGTGTTAGAAGGCATGAACAAAACGTTAATCATCAGCGCTCTTAAGTGACCAGGTGCACTGCCAATGAGCAGTAATATTTTGAGAGAATAATTTTTTTTTCCTAAGCAGTAGGTCTCAACAGTGGGCTTGAAATATTCAGTAAATCATGCTGTAAACATATGTATTGTCATCCAGGCTCTGTTGTTCCATTTATAGAGCACAGGCAAAGCAGATTTAGTACAATTCTTAAGGGACCTAGGACTTTCAGAATGGTAAATGAGCACTGACTACAGCTTAAAGTCAGCAGTTTCATTGGCCCCTAACAATAGAGTCAGCCTGTCCTTTGAGGCTTTGGAGCCAGGCATTGACTTCTCTTCTCTAGCTATGAAAGTCCTAGATGTCATCTGCTTCCAATAGAAGGATGTTTTGTCTACATTGAAAATCTGTTGTTTAGTGTAGCCACTTTCATCAATTAACTTGGCTGAATCTTCCAGATAACTTGCTGCAGCTTCAATATTAGCACTTGCTGCTTCACCTTGCACTTCTACATTATAGAGATGGCTTCTTTCCTTAAACCTCATGAACAAACCTCTGATAGCTTCAAACTTTTCTTCTGCCACTTCTTTCCCTTTCTCAACCTTCATAGAATTGAAGAGAGTTAGGGCCTTGCCCTGGATTAGGCTTTGGCTTACTGTTGTGGCTGGTTTAATCTTCTATCCAGACCATTAATGCTTTCTCTGTATTGGCAATAAGACTGTTTTGCTTTTTCTATCATTTGAGTGTTCACTGGAATAGCACTTTTAATATACTTCAAGAACTTTTCCTTTGCTTTCACAACTTGACTAACTGTTTAGATCAAGAAGCCTACCTTTTGGCCTGTCTTGACTTTTGGCATGCTTTACTCACTAAGCTTAATGATTTCTACCTTTTTATTTAAAGTGAGAGATCTGTGACTCTTCCTTTTACTTGAACACTTAGAGACCAGTGTAGGGTTTTTATTTGGCCTAATTTCTTTATTTTTTTTTATTTTTTAATTTTATTATTATTATACTTTAAGTTTTAGGGTACATGTGCACAACGTGCAGATTTGTTACATATGTATACATGTGCCATGTTGGTGTGCTGCACCCATTAACTCGTCATTTAGCATTAGGTATATCTCCTAATGCTATCCCTTCCCCCGCCCCCCACCCCACAACAGTCCCCAGTGTGTGATGTTCCCCTTCCTGTGCCCATGTGTTCTCATTGTTCAATTCCCACCTATGAGTGAGAACATGCGGTGTTTGGTTTTTTGTCCTTGTGATAGTTTGCTGAGAATGATGGTTTCCAGTTTCATCCATGTCCCTACAAAGGACATGAACTTATCATTTCTTATGGCTGCATAGTATTCCATGGTGTATATGTGCCACATTTTCTTAATCCAGTCTATCATTGTTGGACATTTAGGTTGGTTCCAAGTCTTTGCTATTGTGAATAGTGCCGCTATAAACATACGTGTGCATGTGTCTTTATAGCAGCATGATTTATAATCCTTTGGGTATATACCCAGTAATGGGATGGCTGGGTCAAATGCTATTTCTAGTTCTAGATCCCTGAGGAATCGCCACACTGACTTCCACAATGGTTGAACTAGTTTACAGTCCCACCAACAGTGTAAAAGTGTTCCTATTTCTCCACATCCTCTCCAGCACCTGTTTTTTCCTGACTTTTTAATGATTGCCATTCTAACTGGTGTGAGATGGTATCTCATTGTGGTTTTGATTTGCATTTCTCTGATGGCCAGTGATGATGAACATTTTTCATGTGTTTTTTGGCTGCATAAATGTCTTCTTTTGAGAAGTGTCTGTTCATGTCATTTGCCCACTTTTTGATGGGGTTGTTTGTTTTTTTCTTGTAAATTTGTTTGAGTTCATTGTAGATTCTGGATATTAGCCCTTTGTCAGATGAGGAGGTTGCAAAAATTTTCTCCCATTCTGTAGGTTGCCTATTCACTCTGATGATAGCTTCTTTTGCTGTGCAGAAGCTCTTTAGTTTAATTAGATCCCATTTGTCAATTTTGGCTTTTGTTGCCATTGCTTTTGGTGTTTTAGACATGAAGTCCTTGCCCATGCCTGTGTCCTGAATGGTATTGCCTAGGTTTTCTTCTAGGGTTTTTACGGTTTTAGGTCTAACATTTAAGTCCTTAATCCATCTTGAGTTAATTTTTGTATAAGGTGTAAGGAAATGATCCAGTTTCAGCTTTCTACATATGGCTAGCCAGTTTTCCCAGCACCATTTATTAAATAGGGAATCCTTTCCCCATTGCTTGTTTTTGTCAGGTTTGTCATATTTGGCCTAATTTCAATACTGCTGTTTTGGGGAACAAGAAGGGAACAAGATGGGGAATGACTGGTTGGTGGAGCAGTGAAAGCACACACAACCTTTACTGATTAAGTTCACTGTCTTATATGGATGTGGTTCATAGTGCTCTAAAACAATTACGGTAGTAAAACCAAAAATGAATGGTCACATATCATCATAATAAATATAATAAGAATGAAAAAATTTGAAATATTGTGAGAATTCTCAAAATGTGACACAGAGACGAGCACATACTGTTGGAAAAATGGTGCTGATAGACGTGCTCCTCGTGGGGTTGCCACAAACCTTCAATTTGTAAAAAATGCAATATCTCTCAAAACATAGTAAAACAAAGTGCAATACAATAAGGTATGCCTGTATTTATTTTATTACTGATTTATAAATGTTCTTTACACATTCTGTCTGTATCTACAATACTACAATATATATGAAACATAATACATTTTGGATATATCCATACTATTACAATACATATGAAATAGAATACATTCTGAACATGTCTATAATATTATAACACATGAACAATATTTACAACACACACATATATAAATATACATAAAATATATAATATATAAAAATATATGTGTTGTAATATATATAATATATAAATATTTATAAAATATAACATATATTTATAATATAATGTATGTTTATAAAATATATATTTATATATGTGTGTGTTGTAAATATTTAGAAGACAATATTTGTAACACACATATATATAAATATATATATTCATATATATATGTGTGTATGCTGTAAATATTTTCTCCCAGTCTACGGCTTACATTTTTATTTAATAGTGTCTTCTGATAAGCAGAAATTTTTGTTTTGATAAAGTTCAATTGAGTAATATTATATGGTTAGTGCTTTTTGTGTACTTTATATTTGCCTATGCCAAAGTTGCAAACATATTGTGTATTTCATCCTAGAAGCTTTATTTTGCTTTTCACTTCTAGATGTATTATCTATTTCATATTAATTTTTATATTTGATGTGAGGTAGGGGTTGAAGTTCAATTTGTTTGTTGCAGTCATCTAGTTATTTTATTTTTTTTAACCACTTGTTGGAAAGGTTTTCTTTTACCCAGTTATTTACCTTGGCACCTTTGTTTAAAATCAACTGACCACACATATATACATCTATTTATGAATTATCTTTCCTGTTTAATTGATCTTTTTTCCTATTCTTATACCAACACCACAAAAAGTGTTGATTACTGTAGCTTTATAGTGAGTCTTGATATTGGTTATTATAATTTTTCTGTCTTGGTTCTACCTTTTCAAGATTTTTTTTGGCTGTTCTAGGTGTATTGTAATTCCATATAAATTTTAGAATCACCTTGTTAATTTCCTGGTGAAAAAAGCCTATGGGGTTTTGATTGGAAGTGCATTAAACCTATGTATCAATTTGGAGACAACTGATATCTTAATATTGAATCTTCTAACGCATGATCATGATTTACTTTTTCATACATTTAACAATTTCAAAATTTTTCTTAGATATATTTTTCAATATACTGTGTAGCGAGAAGTTTTACATGTATTTTGTTAACATTATATGTTTTTGATCCTATACATTTATTGTTTTATTTTTCCCAATTGCTAGTATGTAAAAATATAATTGATTTTGCATGTTTACTATGTGTCTTGTTTTTATAAAATACAATTTCCCAATCGTGAATGTATGGAAATGCAATCAATCTCTAGTCGGGTTTTTTTTTGGTAAATTCCTTAGAACTTTCTACATATACCATCATGTCATCTGCAAATAAATATACTGTGTTATATATTTATCAATGCAATTACATACTACTTTCTTTCTCCTTTTTGAATATTGCAATCAAATTTTTAGTTTCTGTCTCTTCACATTCAAAGTCTGAAACCTTTCTGCATGTCTTTTTGGAATCATCAGTTTTGTGTTACATCATCGTGACACAGTGTTTTTCATTCCTGTTCTTCTGGCCATAACTACTATTCATCTTTAGAATTGACAGTTTAATTTGAAAGTACATTTAAAGAAGTTTACTTGCTTTTTCTACTGGGTTGAACTAATAATTTTTTTCCTTAACTGAAGTACATATAGCTGGATCACAATTAGCATCTCTAGAAAGTCAGCCAAATTGGTCACACCCCCATTCCTAGCTTTGGAAGCTCTATTATCTATGTGAGAAATCTGTCAACTTTGACCATCTTTAATTGTATTGCCTTGTACGAAATGGAAAATCATCTGCATAAACAAAAAATTTCATTTCAATGCAGCCACATGGTATGATATTTTAGGTCATTTTAAAAAATGAAATTGAAGAAATTATTTTAAAGCTAAAATTTAACCCCATGTTGGGCTATCAATGCAAATAAATCATCTGAATTGGCAACTGAATGAACACGTCTTCCATGCATAGCTACCATCACATGTATGTGGCAACTACAACTGTGACTCAGCTTATATCTTTACGTGTCCACTGCCAAATTTCTCCACTGCCAAATTTCTCCACTGCCAAATTTCTTCGGCATTTATTGAAAGATACATTCAAATTTCAGAACAATTAAGATTTGACAATAGCACTAGTAAGTTATAAACTTATAACTATAAGTTGTAGAATTGCTTAATAAATTACAGAGCTATATTTTTAGAAACAATAAAGGCATGAACTTTTGGCAAGCTTATTCAAGGAAAAGAAAAAATTAGATATACAGATTATTAAAATAATTATTGAATAATATTATGTCAAGGTTTTAAAAAATCTGCATAAAATGAATGATTCTTAAGGAAAAACTCTATTACCAAAATTACCTAAAATGAGAAAATTTAAAATATCCAGTAATCACTAAAAAAAATTTTAAAAATTGCCAGATAACTAGCTGCCAGAAATTCCCTTGGCTAGATGGATTTATAGGCAATATTTTAACAACTTTTAATGAATGGTTAATTCCTGTGTGTTAACTGTTCTATAATAAATGGTAGTTAACTTTCCAACTAATTTGACAAAGCTAATAGAGCAATTATACCAAAACCTTAGAAATACTATAACGGATACAAAGTAATTTAATATTAAAAATTAAAGAAAATTAAAGCTGCTGGAGGCAGGCAGACAGCTATTTGTTTGTTTGTTTCTCTTAACAGAATAAGAATCATATTCCTTACAAGGTAGAATAAAGCTGAACAGAAAATGGATTGGTAGTAGAATCAGACTTAGAACTTGTAACTTTCAAAAAATCTACATTTTTTCCATATTGAATGTATATGTCAAGATCATGTGTAACTAGATCTCTACTATGTATGTATGTATGCATGTATGTGTGTATGTATGTATTTATCTTAATGGTTAAGAACTACTGTATTTAAAAATATGAGTAAAAAATCCTTGAGACTTGTTCCTTTTAAAAGGGGTGAAACTTTAAAAAGCTGGAGCCATTGTGTTGAGAGCGAGCTTACAGGCCATTGACTTCATTCTGTTGCGGATTAGACTCATTCCCTTCTGTTTTTTTTTTTTTTTTTTCTAGCACATACAGATCAGTCTTTTGCATTATTTTTAAAAAAACTTTTAGGGGCTGGATGTGGTGGCTCATGCCTGTAATCCTAGCACTTTGGGAGGCTGAGGCAGGTGGATCACCTAAGGTCAGAAGATCTTCTAAGGTCAGAAGATCGAGACCAGCCTGACCAATATGGCGAAACCCCATCTCTACTAAAAATACAAAAATTAGCCAGGCATGGTGGCATGTGCCTGTAGTCTCAGCTACTCAGGAGGCTGAGACAGGAGAATTGCTTGAACCCAGGAGGCGGAGGTTGCAGTGAGCCGAGATCGTGCCACTGCACTCCAGCCTGGGCGACAGAGCGAGACTCCATCTCAAAACAAACAAACAAACAAAAAAACTTTTAGGTTCAGGGGTACATGTACAGGTTTGTTATATAGGTAAACCTGTGTCACAGGGGTTTGATGTACAGATTATTTCATCACCCAGGTACTCATTCTCTCACATGAGTCCAGCCTTGGCTCAACCATCTACAATGGTAAGGAATTAATTATTTTGAGTCTGTTCATGATATTTAAAGATAGTGACAATTTTATTTATTCTTTGTCAGTGGCAATCCAGGTTTTCTTGGTCTCAAAGTGTTTATAAATTTGGAGTCCTCCTTAAGAAAAAGAATAAAAAATCATAAACGAAATTAAGTTGATAATTAAGTTGAACTTCTGGAGGATTTCATGCAATGGAAGGGTCTTGGAACTTCAGCTTCATCCGCTTCCAGAAAATTTGCCTGTGTTTTCAACTGTGTCCACCGTTTTCTGAACTTAGTCATTTTGAGGCTTCTTACGTATTGTAAATCTTGCTAGGACTATAAACCCCCAAAGGGTGAGAAATCACTTGATTTAACTAATCTCCATAGTGCCTAACTGTTGTTAAAAGGAAAATCCTTTTCTTCACCAAATCTCCATTTAAGATGCTGTCTTCCCTTCATCTCATTTGCTGAAAAAGAGGAGCTCCCAACATCCCTCAAGTCCCTTTCATTTCTTGATCCAATGTGGCATCCACACTTTGGATCCAATCAGGCATCCACACTTACTGCTCCACTGAAACTACTCTTAGGAAGGTTGAGAATGGCTTTTAAATGTCAAATACTGTGGCCTCTCCTCAGTCTTGATCCTACCTGATACATTTTCAGAAATCCTTCTTTGTTGATATGCTGACAGTTTACTGTTCTCTCTGACAACTGCTCTTAGCTCATGTTAGTGTCTCCACTTTTGTCTCTGCCTTACACTGAGGTGTTCCCTAAGATTCCTTGCTCAGGCTTCTCTTCCAATTTTCCAGGCATGTTCTATCTACCCCACAGCTTTGCTCATCGTCATAGGCATGTGGCTTCCATGTCTGAATTTACAGTCCGGAACTGCTAACTACCTTCTGGATGTCTCCATACAGATTCCCTGAAAATATTACAACTTGAATATTTATTTTATTTTTTATTCATATCACACCTTATTTCTAAGGGAATCGCAGAGGATTCAAGTGACCATTTTCTTTTCTTGTTGAAATCATACTCCACTTTCAAGGCCAAGCTGAGAATTGCCTTCTCTAGGAAACCTCCTTGCAATCTAATCATCACTTGAGATCTTATGTCATTTTCATTACACTGTGGTCACAGATTTCTATGATATAAAGCTGTGTTTGTATCCCAAAAGATTTGAGAGCTATTTGAAGGGAAGGACCAACCTTTTAATTATTTTCCCTTCACCTGTCCAACTCTGAGCATAAGATCTTGCAGATAGGGGAGCACTCAGAAGTTGTTCTAATTCTGATCTCTGAATTGAACTAGAATAGAAGGCAAGGCTTGATGCATCAAATAGTTTTAAAATATATAAAAGGGAAGTCTTTGACAGAGCAGGGGATAGACTTGTTAGTTATCTAGGTAGAAGAATATAAAAGATGAAAATACACTTAGTTCCTATAAGAAATGTAACCAAACTTAAACAAGTTTAGAGAGATGCACAATGTGTTTCCAAGGGAAAATGGGGACATGCCATACCTTTCAAGTGTAGGCCACGGTTGACAATGACCATGATTTCTCAGGATTGTCCTGGCTTACACAGGACATCTAGTCACCCACAGATTTGGCAACAGTTCAATTATTCTGTTGAGTTCAGATCACCAAGCTGGCTAATAGATGCTTTCCACTTCACTGCAGTCTCTGGAGACACAAACGCTTGTCCACACCCCAGCATGAATCCAAGCTGAGGTTCAGCACAATTAGTTATTTGTTTCCTCTAACATCTGAACCTTGTGAGATTCAGCCACCTCCCGGGAACCAGCCGTCTGCCAATGAGGCATGAATAAAACAGAGAAGGTTCCAGCTGGCATCACCTGCTGTGTTTTGCCTTATTGCTCTACACACATTTCTAGACTTCTGAAATCCAGGGGCCTCTCTCTAGAGGACGCATGCCACATGGGCTGGGTCTCTGAGACCATGATTCTGATTTTGACTTTTTTATTTTTTGAGCCTCAGCCTGACTCAGGCATTAGACAATGGATGGGAGACCACAATCCTCAGATTCTTGCCTGGCTCTGACCCCTGGCCACCCTCACATTCAAACCCTTTCCTGATCAGCCCCTTACATGTTATTAATCTTCAGATCATAAAAATATCTCGTTTAAGAGCCCATCTTTTATGAGAACCTATACTCTGCCAAGATTTCTCTCTTGTCCTGTAATATGGCCGTTTGGATTCATTTTCATTATACAGCTATAAGCTATGGTATTGTTGAGGTTTCACTGCTTGCCTTTCCTTTATGATACCTCTCTGTGAATGCATGGATGACCTTTTCTCCTCATTCCCACTGCCACTGTCATAGCCCAGCCTCTTGTCACAGTTTATTTGCTCTTTTCCTGCCTGCCAAGGTTGTAATGATTAAGTGCCTGGATTCTGAAGTCATATAACAAGCTTAAATCCTGTGCCTGCAACTTACTAGCTGTGTGGCTTTGGATAAGTCACATAGTCTCCTTGTGCCTCAGTTTTCCCATCTGGGAAACTAAGGGTAACAAACATAACCATTTCCTAAGGTCATTGCAGTTAGTATGTTGTGCTGCAACCTGTTAATATGTAACACATAAAATGCCATATTATAGGACAAGAGAGAAGTTGCTTGCTTTTACAGCAGCTGAAAAAGTGTTGGTTGTTATTATGATGTTATTATTATCCTTCACATGATCCAACACACTTTGCGTAGAGCATTAGTTCAATTTTTGAATGAAAATAAGGTTATTTTATAGCCATTCTTGATGGTGGGGAAAAAAGCAGCTTCTTGTAGGTAGAATGCATTTGAGAAGAATTCAGTAAAGATGAGGTATTTTGAGTGCAGGTAATCCTCAGGGATGGCACTGGAGAAGTAGATAAGGGGTAAACTGTGGGGGACCTTTAACACATGGTGAAGAAGCTGGAGGCTATGAAGCAGGCAAGGGAAAATCCCTGAGAGTTTTGAGCCAAGAGTGAACAGTGGACACTGAGAGGTTAATCTGAAGAAGATGTCTGTCTCATTTAAAGGAGAATAGGACTTGCTTGCAAAGCCAGCCCTATGGAGTCTGCAAATCATTCATTCATTAAAAAGTTTCAATGGATATTTACTATTACATCCAGGTACTTGCTAGGTGCAATGGTGAGTAGACCTGACACACTTTATATTTTCATGAAGTTTATGGTGTAGTGGGGAAGAGGCCATTTTAAAACAAGGCATGGTAAATGCTGCAGAGGCATTGAGACTACCCCTCCTGCATCCATCCCACCCATTCCACTTCACCTCAGAGGGGTGCATGCAGTGTGAGTGGGATTGATCCCACTCTGAACTCCAGGAATGTGATCTGATAAGTGTAAGCCAGTTGTTTCTAACTCTGATGCACATTCCAATTACTTGTGGAGTTTAACAAAATTATAAAAACCAGGATGCCAGCTCTAGAGATGAATTGATCTGGGATGTGGCCTGGGAGTTGGTAGTGTACGTACAGATCACCAGGTGATGCTAATATGCAGAACCACTGTTGTAGTCCAACCAGGTAATCTTACTTCTCTTGCTAGAATGTTTTGTTCAGGAACTGTTCCAGAGATGGAGAACATAGCCCTAGGGCAGCCATAGCATATTACTGGTGTTGGCCATTGTGACTTGTTTAGAGTGGTCATCAGAGGGAACCCTAGTACTTTTGTCAGATGGTTCTCTGAAGTAGGACTTTATTTTCCCTTTAACTGTCTTCTGAAGGCAACTTAAGGAGTCGAGCACAGGCAGCAAAACAGCAGAGAAATGGGGCTGGAGCCCTTAGCAAAGCATGCTTAATGCTTCCCTACCTCTTAATTTTCTAGTTACTCGAACCCAATAAAGCTGCTTCAGTGTTCAAGCCAGTTTGAGATAGGTTTACTGCTATTTGGAACTGCAGAGTGACAGTAAAAGTCTCCTAATTGACTCAAGACATAATGTTATGGTGTAAGGTGCTTAACTCAGAAAAGATCAGAGAAAGAAGGATTGGGTACTGAGGAGGAAGAGGATACTCTGTTTGTAATTAGAGGGGCAATGTGACTTATTGGAAAGGCAAAGCTTTAGAGTTGGATGTGCCTGGTTTTCAATTCTGGTTCTGCCACTTATTGGCTCTCTGACCTTGCTTCCTAAACTTTAAATTGGAGTATTATTAGAACTTGTAGGATTGTGATGAAGTTTGAGATTAATTATGAAATGAGCTCAGCTCAGTGTCTGCTAGTATGTTGTAGATACTAAAAACATGAGGACTATTGCTTTTGTAGTGGCAGCTGCTACCAGGTAAATGGAGATGACAGGTATTAGGTTCTAGGGTTAGGGACTGAAAGGCACATGATAGGATTCCATAGGCTGGGGCTCCTGAAATCTCAATAGGTTTAGATCTGATTGAATGCAGACATGATTATGAGTAGCTGGAATAGAAAGGAAGAGGCAAAAATAGAACAAAATATTGTATGCTTTTAAGGTCTCTTTCTGTTATGGAGAATTATCTGCATGGGTTGCCCTTTTTGGTGTACGTATGCTTCTAGGTAAGGAATCAATGTTTATCATATATGACAGAAACACCCTCTTTCTTGTATACTGTTGGATAAAAAATGATAAATGTTTGCTATTCAATTCATTCTTTTATCAGTTATCAGAAGTAGTCTTGTGCCAGGTAAGTAACAATACAATTGGATCTTTACCTGTATTGCATTGTAGTTATGTCTCCCTGGAAGTGTATGCTAGTCACCTTGAATGAATTTGGGAGATACTCTGGTATCTGATGGAAATTTGAGAACCACACTTTTTTTGTTTTGACTTTTGAGTTCAGGGGTACATGTACAGGTTTGTTACATAGGTAAACGTGTGTCATGGCGGTTTGTTGGACAGATTATTTCATCACCCAGTGTTAAGCCTAGTACTCATAAGTTTTTTTTTTTTTTTTTTTTTTTTTTTTTTGAGACGGAGTCTCGCTCTGTCGCCCAGGCTGGAGTGCAGTGGCGGGATCTCGGCTCACTGCAAGCTCCGCCTCCCGGGTTCACGCCATTCTCCTGCCTCAGCCTCCCAAGTAGCTGGGACTACAGGCGCCCGCCACTACGCCCGGCTAATTTTTTGTATTTTTAGTAGAGACGGGGTTTCACCGTTTTAGCCGGGATGGTCTCGATCTCCTGACCTCGTGATCCGCCCGCCTCGGCCTCCCAAAGTGCTGGGATTACAGGCGTGAGCCACCGCGCCCGGCCTCATAAGTTATTTTTTTCTGATCCTCTCCCTCTCCCTCCTCCCACTTTCTATCCCCCAATAGGCCCCAGTGTGGGTTATTCCCCTCTATGTGTCCATGTGTTCTCATCATTTAACTCCCACTTATAAGTGAGAACACGTAGTATTTGGTTTTCTGTTCCTATGTTAGTTTGCTAAGGATAATGGCCTTCAGCTCCATCCATGCCCCTGCAAAGGACATGATCTCATTCTTTTTAATGGTTGCATAGTATTCCATGGTTTATACATACCACGTTTTCTTTATTCAGTCCATCATTGATGGGCATTTAGGTTGATTCCTTGTCTTTGCTATTGTGAATAGTGCTGCAATGAACATATGCGTGCATGTGTCTTTATAATAGAATGATTTATATTCCTTTGGGTATATACCCAATAATGAGATTGCTAGGTCAAATGGTATTTCTGTCTTTAGGACTTTGAGGAATTGCCACACTGTCTTCTGCAGTGGTTGAACTAATTTACACTCCTGAGAAACACACTGTTTTATTTAAAATCAGCAACACATTTATAAACTCTTTCTTATGAATTACTTCTTCAGAAGATTATATGTTCTATTATATACTAATTATTTAATAATCTCAACTTTAGAAGACTTTTTTTTCTTTGTTCCTAGATGCTAGGCAGCATGATGTATACATTCAATGGCTCCAGCTTCTAACTTGCAGTTAAGCACTACAGTCAGCTAGAGAGATTTATCAAAGAAGAGATACCAGGAGCCTACCCCAACCTCCTGGATCAGTCTCTTCTACACATGTTACTACTATGGCTTCAACTGCAATTAAAGCAAATTTAAAGAAATATAAGTAACTAAATATAGATACGTTTTTCTTAACTAAACTTTAATTATCATCTGCCATTGCCTGATAATGTTCTGTCACTGCCTGATCTAACTTTTCTTTTTTCTTTTCTTTACTTTGCTCGAAGGATATTGTCTTATTTTTTCATAATTACATATCTCATTCTCCTTTTTGAAGTTTTTCTGAGACAGAGTCTCACTGTGTCACCTAGATTGGAGTGCAGTGGCACCATCTTGGCTCACTGCACCCTCTGCCTCCCAGGTGCAAGTGATTCTCCCACCTCAGCCTCCTGAGTAGCTGGGACCACAGGTGCGCACCACCATGCCTAGCTAACTTTTTGTTTCTTTTCTTTTTTGGGGTGTGGGGGGTAGAGATGGGGTTTTGCCATGTTGCCCAGGCTGGTCTTGAACTCCTGAGCTCAAGAAATCCACCTGCCTTGACCTCCCAAAGTGCTGGGACTACAGGTGTGAGCCACTGCACCCAGCCATATCTCATTCTTACTATGAGAATTTTCCCCTTGGCCTTTGGTATGGCAGCCTTACTACCTCTTAGTACTCTGGTAAAAGTTTATTTTCTTTGTAATTTATTTTTCTTGGGGACTCAAAACTCTTCTTTTGTGTAGGTTTTCTTAGCTCCAAGTTGACTTTTGTGTTGAAGGAACAAGATTACCAAGACAGGCATAAACCTCATGACTGTCATTTTCCAGTCAGATAAAGGTTATAAATGGCTAACCATTTTATGTTACTTCACGTGTCTGATATGGGGGAAAAAGCATGAGCTATGTGTTCAAGACCCAGCCTTATAATTTATCTTTGTGATCTAAGGCAGCTATTTAACCTCCCTGAAATTTAACTTTTTTTCATCTGTAAGATAACACCATCACTTAGATCATAAGATTTTTTTTAACTTTTATTTTAGGTTCAGGAATACATGTGCAGGTTTGTTACAGGTAAAACTTGTCCCACGGGGGTTTGTTGTACGGATTATTTTGTCACCCAGGTGCTAAGCCTAGTACCCAACAGTTATTTTTTTTATCATTATAGGATTATTACAAATGTGAAATTAGGTATGTAAACCACCTAGTGTGGTACCCATACACAGTTAGTTCACAATAAATTTTAATTTCCTGAACTCTCTCACTTCTCTCTCTTGAGGCTTATATTTGTGGTAAAATTATTTGCACAAAATACTAATTATTCTAATTTAACCACTTGAACAGCTTGTAACATACTTTAAACCTTATTCTCAAAAGAATGATGCCTAATTTTTCTTGGGCTTAAATATAAAGTTCACTGCATTTCTTAATTGCCCCAGAATACTGAGAGAACTGACAGTTAATAATTCAAAGCTATTATCAGTGATCTTTAAATAAGACATGAAGGATAGGAGGAATTCCAGGATACTTGGAATGAGCAAATATTCCCGATTTCTAAAGAAAAAACAAAATATGCATGCCACCCTCCACAAACAGAATGGACAGCTTTATATTAATTCCTGAATTTCTAGCTTGATATTAATCCCTGGAAAAATTCTAAAAATGGCAACTGTACTTATGATTTGTAAACATTTAGAAAAGTAGTAATTGTCAGGAACTGGTATGGTTCTACTAGGACAAGGACATTTCCTTATTTTCCTTTTTCTTTTAAATAATTGAGCCTGGGGAACATAGTGGGACCCCATCTCTACAAAAAATAAAAAATAATTAGCCGGGTGTGGTGGTGAGTGCCTGTAGTCCCAGCTACTCAGGAGGCTGAGGCAGGAGGATTGCTTGACCCTGGGAGGTTGAGGCTGTAGCAAGCTGTGATTACACCACTGCACTCCAGCTTGGGTGAAAGGGTGAGACCCTGTTTCAAAAAGAAAAAAAAAGTTAAATAAATAAATAATCATAAGTCCTGTGGATCATGTTAAAACTATAAACACAGTGTATGTATTTTGATGCAGCAAACCATCTAGCAAAATTCTCATGATATTGTTGTTGATAAAATCCTTAGGAAAATATGGCCTGGATCGTTTACCTATCTTCTATTTTTGTCTTTGTTCTAAAAAGATTTTTGATGGCTTTAACAATACATAAAGTTTAATAAGATGAAGCAAAAGAGGGAGAAAATTAGGGTAAAGGAAAAACAACGTTAAAGGAAATAAGAGGAAACTGAGTGTGTTGTTGGTTCATTAAATGTATGCCATGACATTCTGTTATTCCACACTTTGTACACTTCCTAGAGGTAATTTGCAAATGTTGCTGTGGGCTTCCTAACAGTCAAAGCAAAGAGGAAACATCATAAATACAAGTGTCTATAAGAAAGAGAAACAGCACTGAGAGCAGAGAAGCTTCTGTTGGGTCCTTGTAAAGAGGACATATGTCATGTAGTAAACCATCTGCTCAATAAATCCTTACATGAAATGCAATGGTGAGTTTTAAGGGCCGCTTCTTATGAAGTACCTTTATGTAGGCCAAAGTATTTTATTATGTAAAAAAACTTCTATGGGCAATTGTGGTTTAGGGGTCTTGGGAATGTCATCAAGATATGTAACTCTCTGATAGTTGGGAAGTGTTTTTACCATTAGGCTCTAGTTCAGCAGCCAGCTTATAAAACTTCTCCAAAGATCATTCATTAAAGGGTTTATGTCTCTACTGCTTTGCTTTATCCTTGGGTAGTCAGAATTATCATCAAAGATGAAGTCTTTGAAAACACTCCTCACATTTTTGAATAATGAAAATTTGGAAGAGACAGTAAATAATGGTTAAGTGGTCTTGATATCTGCCATATTGGGGTAAAGCTTACAAGATAAAATTTAGTAGCTATAAATATATAAAATAGGAAATTTGAGTTAAAAAGTGAATCCTTGAGTGACAGAACCAGGGACACCCTGAAAGTAAGTCACACTATTTGAGAAGGACACCAGGAGGTTCCACACCTGCAAACTCAGATGAGACAATAGTGTGGCATGGCTTCTAAGAAAGCCAAAGTTGCATGTGTAGAAGCATTGTGCTCACAGAGGCTCTACAAACTCTGCCCAGGCCAGGTCACATCTGTTAGCCTTCTGTTAAAATTTCATGCCATTTTCCAAAAGAGCTATTCATTCAAAGGAGAGTGTCTGGGATGCTGAGGAGTCTAAAGGAAAATTTAGAGAAGCTATAGATTCTTATCCTAGAAATGAGAAGATAAAACAAACATAAAATCTGCCTTAGTTGAAGAGATATTATGTGATCAGGAAAATAATTTCCTCCCTTATATGGTTGGGTCTTTGTCTCTCTGACAAAATCTCATGTCAAACTTTAATCCCCAATGTTGGAGATGTGGTCTGGTGGACAGTGATTGGATCAAGGTGGCGAACTTCCCCTTTGGTGCTGTTCTCATGATAGTGAGTGAGTAATCACGAGATCTGGTTGTTTAAAAGTGTGCAGCACCTTCCCCCATCTCTCTTCCTCTTGCTCTGGCTGTGTAAGACATGTCTCCTTCCTCTTTGCCTTCTGCCATGATTGTAAGTTTTCTCAGGCCTCCCCAGCCATGCTTCCTTTATAGCCTGCAGAATTGTGAGCCAATTAAGCCTCTTTTATTTTTTTTTAAATCAATTACCCAGTCTCAGGTAGTTCTTTATAGCAATGCAAAAATGTACTAATACAGAAAATTGGTACTGGAAAGTGGGACATTGCTATAAAAATACTTAAAAATGTGGAAGTGACTTTGGAACTGAATAATGGACAGAGGTTGGAACAGTTTGGAGGACTCAAGAAGACAGGAAGATGAGGGAAAGTTTGAAACTTTCTAGAGACTTGTTGAATGGTTTTGACCAAAATGCTGATAGTGATATGGACAGAGATGGCCAGGCTGATGAGTTCTCAGATGGAGATGAGGAAATTACTGGGAATTAGAGCAAAGGTCATTTTTGTTATGCATTAGCAAAGAGGTTGGAGGCATTGTGCCCTGCCCTAGAGATCTGTGGAAGTTTGGACTTGAGAGAGATGATTTGGAGTATCTGGTGGAAGAAATTGCTAAGCAGCAAGGTGTTCAAGGTGTGACCTGGCTGCTTCTAACAGCGTATGCTCACTTGCATGAGCAAAGAGATTATCTGAAACTGGAACTTACATTTAAAAGGAAAGCAGAGTGTAAAAATTTGGAAAATTTGCAGTCTGGCCATGTGATAGAAAACAAAAACCCATTTTCTGTGGAAAAACTCAAGCCTGCTGCAGAAATTTGCATAAATAAAGAGAAGCCAAATATTAATAGCCAAGACAATGAGGAAAATGCCTCCAAGGCATTTCAAAGACATTCATGGCCTTTCCCATCATTGGCCTGGAGGCCTAGGTGGGAAGAATGGTTTTGTGAGCCAGGTCCCCAGGGCCCCAGTGCCCTACACAACCTTGGGACACTGCTCCCTGCATCCCAGCCACTCTAGCTCCAGCCATGGCTAAAAGGGCCCCAGATACATCTCAGGTCACTGCTCCAGAGTGAGCAAACTCTAAGCCTTGGTGGCTTCCATATTGTGTTAAGCCTGCAGGTGTGCAGAGTGCAAGAGTTGAGACTTGGGAGCCTCCACCTAGGTTTCAGAAGATGTATGGTAAAGCCTGGATGTCCAAGGAGAAGCCTGCTTTGAAATTGGGGCCCTCATTGAGAACCTCTGCTAGGGGAGTGCAGAGGGGAAATGTGGGGTTGAAGCCCCCAAACAGAGTCCCCACTGGGGCACTGCCCAGTGGAGCTGTGAGAAGAAAGCCACCATCATTCAGACCCAAAAATAGTAGATTCACTGACAGCTTGCACTATGCACCTGGAAAACCCACAGACACTCAGTGCCTGGCTTTGAGAGCAGCTGTGTGGGATGGGCCCTGCGGAGCCACAGTGGAGAAGCTGCTCAAGGCCTTGGGAGCCCACCCTTCGCATCAGTGCGGCCTGGATGTGAGACAAGGAGTCAAAGGAGATTATTTTAGAGCTTTAAGATTTAATGACTGCCCTGCTGGGTTTTGGATTTGCTTGGGGCCTGGAGTCCCTTTCTTTTGGTAGATTTTTCACTTTTGGAAAGGGATTGTTTACCTAATACCTGTAGCCTCATATTATCTTGGAAGTAACTAACTTGTTTTTTGTTTTACAGGCTTATAGGTGAAAGGGACTAGGCTTGTCTCAGATGAGACTTTGGACTTTAGACTTTTTAGTTAATGCTGGTGTGAGTTAAGACTTTGGTCTACTGTTGGAAAGACATGATTGTATTTGGAAATGTGAGAATGGCATGAGATTTGGGAGGGGTTGGGGTGGAATAATATGGTTTGTGTCTTTGTCCTTGCTCAAATCTCATGTCAAATTTTAATTCACACTGTTGGAGATGGGGTCTGGTTGGGGGTGATTGGATCAAGGGGGAAAATTTCCCCTTGGTGCTGTTCTCATGATAGTGAGTGAGTAATCATGAGATCTGGTTGTTTAAAAGTATGTAGTACCTTCTCCATCTCTCTCTTCCTCCTGCTCTGGCCATGTAAGCTCTGCCCCCTTCCTCTTTGCTTTCTGTCATGATTGTAAGTTTCCTGAGGCCTCCCCAGCCATGCTTCCTGCACAGCCTGTGGAACCGTGGGCCAAGTAAACCTCTTTTCATTATAAATTACCCAGTCCCAGGTTGTTCCTTATAGCAATGTGAGAACAGACTAATACACTCCTGGATAAAGCTAAAAGAAAAAATTTTAACAAACTACTGATTGATTACATAGGAGTATGTAAAAGAAAAACATGATAATAATTAGAGCTATCTGAAAAATCAAAATGGTCTTTCTTTTGAGTGGTGAACTTCTCATTGCTGGAAGAACTCAAAGACAGTCTGTATAGCTTCCAGCAATGTTGTAGAAGATAGTTTGATGAGGATGAGAGACTGTTCTAGGTGACCTCCAAGTTCCCTTCTCACTCAAAGATTTTATGCATCTTTACCTGAAATGGCAGAAATTTCAAGAGTTAAAAAATCCACAAGTTATTTAAAGAAAAAAAATCAATTTAGTCTCAGACTATTGTTAGTGTCTCAGAAGATCTGCCTCCAAGTGACTAAAGTAACATAAACAGAAGATGATGAATCATGCTGCTTTTCCTAATGGTCTCCAATATGCAAAGCCCAAGTTCACAGCTGCCACTCTGAGTGACTACATGGGGAGGGAGAAGTAAATTATGGTAGGTATAACACTGTAATGTTCCTAGTTGGTAGCTCGTGTGTATGTGATTACCTAGTATTCCTTACCAGCTGTTGATTTTTTTTTTTAACATTAGTCATACTGATTTAAAACAACCATCCTCTTCTCATTTATTTCAATAAGCACTGTTCTTTTTGGAAGAGTAAGACATTTTATTTAAAAGTGGAAGCTTTTCTTAGCTCTTGTATTAGTCCGTTCTCACACTGCTATGAAGAAATACCCGAGACTGGGTAATTTAAAAAGAAAGAGGTCTAATTAACTCACAGTTCTGCAAGGCTGGGGAGGCCTCAATAAACTTACAATTGTAGTGGCAGCAAGGAGAAGTGCTGAGCAAAAGGGAGAAAAGCCCCTTATAAAACCATCAGATCTCTTGAGAACTCACTCACTATCACAAGAACATCATGGAGGTAACCACCCCTATGATTCAATTACCTCCCTCTGGGTCTGTCCCATGACACGTGGGGATTATGGAAACTATAATTTAAGATGAGATTTGGGTGGGGACACGGCCAAACCATATCGGCTCTTAAGTGCATATGATGTGATTGTACATATATATGTACTTGACAGGGTGATTGTGAATCTCAGGTGAGGTAATTATTCAGGCACTATTCTCTCTTCTTATTCTTGACCCAGGTCACTGAGGTGGAAACAGGGTCATGGGAGTGGGGAAAATCAGTTGCTCACTTCTCTGTGACCAGAATAAAGGAAGTCTTTAGTGGTGGGTGGACAAGATTTTGGAAAGGGTCTCTGGAGGGTGAGCAACCAGGATAGATGGTCCCCAACTACATCTCCTCATTCCTAGTGCGAGGGCACTTAGTTGGCTGGGTTTTCTTTCTTGGTACTCTTGGGGCTTGAATGAGGGAAAATTCTGAGGTGTGCTGGATTGATAAAAGAAAGATGATTGGACCTAGTCTGGAATGGGGATTTGGGTCACCAAAGGAAAGGAAGTTCAGGGACTGGAAAGAACAGGAGGAGACTCAAGCTATTTAATCAGGGGTAGAGTTGGGGAGAAGACTCTGAAAGTTCAAGTCCAAGGTCTAAAGCCAGAGTAGGAACCAATGAAGTGTCTAGATATTAGAAGAAAGAAAAGAATCAGATGAAGGTTGCCCACGCAGATTCTGCTAAAAAGCCTGTGGTCTTCACAGGATAGCTTTTATTTTATCTCACTCAAGGGCAGCTCAGAGGCTTGTGACACTAGCTAAGGCCGGAGGTTCCCTAGAAGCTTGTCCTACCAATAAGCCTGCAATTCCTTGATAAATCACAGTCTACTGTTTCTCTCCAAGAAATCTCCAGGACAGATGGGCCAACTGATTAAAAGAATCTGGTTCCCTTAGGGCTAAGAAATTAATCTGGCAAATCATATTGCTAATCTCAGTGCAAATTCCTCATCTGAGAGACCTATGTAAACTTTGGTCAGTCATCTCTCTGCTCTCAATAAGTGAATTCCATTGCAAATGGCCATTGTAAGTTTGTCCCCTTCTCCTCCCTTCCTTGGCAGCTCTGTTTAGCATGCACCCAGATGGCTTCTGGGTAAGGCATGCAGAGGTAGCTAAAGATAGTTTATTGCCTCTGGTGTGTCCCTGCATGGTTTCTGCCCTCAGACATAAACTGAGCCCTTAGCATATCTTTTCTATATAGTAAAGTCTGTGTACCTTTATTATACCCTGTAAAAGTCTACATATCTTTCCTATACTTGAAAGCTATGCCATCAGCTTAATCATAATATAATTCTGATTGGATACTCTCTTAAATTATACTTATGCATTAATGCATTAATTTCTAACAATTTACAGTTGCATTTTACTATTTGTATTAGTCCAGTGAATGCTGTTCATCTTGTATACCATCATAAATGAACTGTTCGAATTCTTGAGGATTCCTTTAAAGGTGCCTTTATGTATGTGCACCTTTTTTAATAGACTGAGACTTCCTTGAGATTCTTTTTTGATTCCTTTGTCTATAAAGGGATAACACTCAAGACCTTAGGATGACCTCATATATACATATCTTATTTATTATATACACACATATGCATATATAAAATGAATAAATGTATTTTAAATAATATATATAAAATAATAAAAAAAATACAGTTGACCCTTGAGCAACAAGAGTTTTAGCTGCACTAATCCACTTCTATATGAATTTTTTTCAATAAGTGTATTGGAAATTTTTTTTGAGATTTGTGACAATTTGAAAAAAGTTACAAACAGCATAGCTTAGAAATATCAAAAAAGTTAAGAAAAATTAGGTATGGCATGATGCATAAAATATATGTAGCACTAGTTTATTTTATCATTTACTACCATAAAATACACACAAATCCATAATAAGAAGTTAAGATTTATCAAAACTTAGGCATACAGACTGTACATGTTACCATTCACAGTCCAGAGAAACGTAAACAAATGTGAGGATGCAGTGTAAAATCATAGCTGCATAAAATTCACTGTAGCACATACTGTACTACTGTAATAATTTTGTAGACGCCTCCTGTTACTACTGCAGTGAGCTCAGATGTTACGAATATCCACTTAAAGCACCTTGTGACAATAATCATCTCTGTGAGGGCAGATTCTCTCTTCAGTAAATTGTGAATTACACCAAAAAGTGATCTCTCAAGGTTCTCATGCATTTTTCACCATGTTTAGTGCAATACTGAGAACCTGAAATAACACTGTGGGACCCACACTAAGAGCCACTAGTGATGCTGGAAGTGCTTGCAGGAAGCAGAGAAAAGTCATGGATTATAACAAAAAGTGTAATAGTTTGTTATGTACTCTAGATTGAGGTCTGTAGCTGCAGTTGCTCACGATTTCAGACAGATGATTCATCTTATAAACAGATGACATAAACTTACAGTATGGATAAATACAGTACAGTATTGCAAATGTTTTTTCTCTTCCTTATGATTTTCCTAATTGCATTTTCTCTTTTCTAGGTTACTTTATTGTCAGAATACAGCATGTAATACATGTAACAAACAAAACATGATTTAATGAACTGCTTATGGTACTAGTAAGGCTTTGGCCAACAGAAATCTATTAGTAGTTAAGTTGTTGAGGAGTCAAAAGTTATATGGGATTTTAGACTGTACGAAGATCCTCTAACCCCTTTGTTGCTTAAGGGTCAACTGTATATAAATTAAATACATATATACTGTTGCTCTTCTGAGCCTATTTTTCCATTAGACTGAAGTTTTTCCTTCTGATAACTCTCTACATAGTAATACCCAATAATAAGTGTTATATTGCTTTGATTTAAAAGTGATATACTTAGGTATGAAATTATTCCAATTTTTTCTTCAACAAAACTTGAGCATCTATAGTACATGCTGTCTAGGTAATCTGGCATATTATTTCATTTAATCTGTAAAGCAACTTTGAAAGTAGGTATTATTACTCTAACTTAATGGATAATTAAACTTACACTGAGGCTTAGGGAAAGTTAGAACCTTGTATAAGTCCACCCGGTAAGCCAAAATTTGAACCCAGGTATTTTGATTTCAGACCTAATGCTGACTTTTTGTGGACATCACTGAGTTTATCAGTAAGGAATATATGTAAATTGCTATCTCAGATTGTTATTGTGTAGAAATTGTATCTCTTTTTCCCCTAATCTTATAAATTGTGTTAAAATACACATGACTTAAAATTACCATCTTAACTATATTAAGTCTTCCAAACCATGAATGAGATGTTTTTATTTATTTATGTCTTCTTAAATTTCTTTCACCAATGTTTTGTAGTTTTCACTGTACAAGTCTTTCCTTCCTTGCTTAAGTAATTTATAAGGATTTTATACATTTTGATGCTGTTGTAAATGGGGTTGTTTTTGTAATTTCCTTTTGAGATTGTTCATTGTTAGTATAAAAATGCAACTGATTTTTGTGTTTTCACTTTGTATCTTACCATGTTGCTGAATTTATTTACTAGTTGTAACAGATTTTTTTTTTTTTTTGGTGTAGTCTTTAGGGTTTTCTGTATATAAAATCATATCCTTCCATAAACAGATAATTTTACTTCTTTCTTTCCAATTTCTATGCCTTTCATTTCTTTTTCTTACCTAATTGCTTTGGCTAGAACTTCTAATACCATGTTGAATGGAAATGGTAAAAGTGGGCATCTTTGTCTTAGTCCTGATCTTAAAGGAAAAGCTTTCAACCCTTCACCAGTGAGTATGATCTTAGTTATGGGCTTTTCATACATGGCCTTTATTATGTTAAGGTAATTTCTTTCTATCTTTATTTTGTCAAGTGTTTTTATCATGAAAGGGTGTTAAATTTTGTGAGATCATTTTTTTCTGCATCAGTTGAGATGATCACGTTTTCCCCCCTTCATTCTGTTATTGTAATATATTACATTGATTGGTTTTCATATGTTGAAACTTTCATGCACGTCTGTGTGAAGAGACCACCAAACAGGCTTTGTGTGAGCAACATGGCTGTTTATTTCACCTGGGTGCAGGCGGGCTGAGTCCGAAAAGAGAGTTGGCAAAGGGAGATAAGGGTGGGGCCATTTTATAGGATTTGGGTAGGTAAAGGAAAATTACAGTCACAGGGGGTTTGTTCTCTGGCGGGCAGGAGTGGGGGTCGCAAGGTGCTCAGCGGGGGTGCTTTTTGAGCCAGGATGAGCCAGGAAAAGGACTTTCACAAGGTAATGTCATCACTTAAGGCAAGGACCAGCCATTTACACTTCTTTTGTGGTGGAATGTCATCAGTTAAGGTGGGGCAGGGCATATTCACTTCTTTTGTGATTCTTCAGTTACTTCAGGCCATCTGGGCATATACGTGCAAGTCACAGGGGATGCGATGGCTTGGCTTGAGCTCAGAGGCCTGACATTCCTGCCTTCTTATATTAATAAGAAAAATAAAACAAAATAGTGTTGAATTGTTGGGGTGGCAAAAATTTTTGGGGGGTGATATGGAGAGAGAATGGGCGACGTTTCTCAGGGCTGCTTCAAGCGGGATTAGGGGTGGTGTGGGAACCTAGAGTGGGAGAGATTAAGCTGAAGAAAGATCTTGTGGTAAGGGGTGATATTGTGGGGTTGTTAGAAGAAACATTTGTCGTATAGAATGATTGGTGATGGCCTGGATATGGTTTTGTATGAATTGAAAAACTAAATGGAATAAGAGAAGGAGAAAAACAGGTATAAAACGTCTAAGAGTTGGGAGGACCTAGGACATCTGATTAGAGAGTGCCTAAGGAGATTCAGCATAGTCCTGCCAGCAAAGATTATTTATTTACTTCAAGAGTTTAGAGTGGCAGTTTGGGGATAGCACCAGGAGATATCAGCTGTGATGGCTTGGAGAAACAGTGTAAACCGGCAGTGTAAACAAGAGCAGGGCATGTATGAGTAGTTGAGAATGGTGAATAGGAGTATGACTAGACAAAAGATAGTAGGGATGACAAGTTTTTTTGGGGCACAGTCTAAGTTGGTCTGGTGTCAAATAAGACTGGGGCCTAATAAAAAGGAGCGTCTATACAGGAGCTCAAATGGGCTGTACCTTGTAGCATTCTGAGGACAGGCCTGAATTCTGAGAAGCGAAAGTGGTAAAAGTATTGTCCAGTCCTTTTTAAGTTGGTGGCTGAGCTTGGTGAGGTGTGTTTTTAAAAGACCTTTAGTCCATTCTACTTTTCTTGAAGACGGAGGACCGTAAGGGATATAAAGGTTTCACTGAATACTAAGAGCCTGAAAAACTGCTTGGCTGATTTGACTAATAAAGGCTGGTCTGTTATCAGACTGTATAGAGGTGGGAAGGCTAAACTGAGGAATTATGTCTGACAGAAGGGAAGAAATGACTGTGGTGGCCTTCTCAGACCCTGTAGGAAAGGCCTTTACTTATTCAGTGAAAGTGTCTATTTAGACTAAGAGGTATTTTAGTTTCCTGACTCGGGACATGTTGAGTAAATTTAATTTGCCAGTCCTGGGTGGGGGCAAATCCGAGCTTGATGTGTAGGGAAGGGAGGGGGCCTGAATAATCCCTGAGGAGTAGTAGAATAGCGGATGGAACATTGAGAAGTTATTTCCTTGAGGATAGATTTCCACGATGGAAAGGAAATGAGAGGTTCTGAGAGGCGGGCTAGTGGCTTGTACTATCGCTTAGCCTGCCTTTGCTGGTGTGTGGCGATTAGGCCTGGTGGAACTGCCATCAATAAACCAAGCATGATCAGGGTGAGGAACAGGAAAGAAGGAAATATGGGGAAATGGGGTGAATATCAGGTGGATCAGAGAGATACAGTCATGGGGGTCAGGTGTGGTATCAGGAATAATGTGGGAGGCCAGATTGAAGTCTGGGCCAGGAATGATGGTAATTGTGGGACTTAAAGAGTGAGTACAGCTGAAGGAGCCGGGGAGCAGAAAGTATATGCGTCAGGTATGAGGAAGAAAATAGATTTTGGAAGTTATGAGAAATGTAGAGAGTGAGTTGAGCATAGTTTGTGATTTTTAGGGCCTCTAACAGTATTAAAGCAGCGGCAGCTGCTGCACACAGACATAAGGGCTAGACTAAAACAGTAAGGTCAAGTTGTTTGGACAGAAAGGCTACACGGTGTGGTCCTGGCTCTTGTGTAAGAATTCTGACTGCACTAACCATGCCTAGGAAGGAAAGGAGTTGTTCTTTTGTGAGGGATTGAGGTTTGGGAGATTAATCGGACACGATCAGCAGGGAGGGCACATGTGTTTTTATGAGAATTATTCCGAGATAGGTAACAGATGAGGATGAAATTTGGGCTTGACTGAAGTAATGGGGGCTATCTGTGAAGCCTTGCGGCAGTACAGCCCAGGTAATTTGCTGAGCCTAATGGGTGTCAGGGTCAGTCTAAGTGAAGGCAAATAGAGGCTGGGATGAAGGGTGCAAAGGAATAGTAAAGAAAGCATGTTTGAGATCCAGAACAGAATAATGGTTAGTAGAGGGAGGTATTGAGGATAGGAGAGTATATGGGTTTGGCACCACGGGGTGGATAGGCAAAACAATTTGGTTGATAAGGCGCAGATTCTGAACTAACTTGTAAGCCTTGTCTGGTTTTAGGACAGGTAAAATAGGGGAATGGTAAGGAGAGTTATAGGTTTTAGAAGCCTATGCTGTAGCAGGCAAGTGATAACAGGCTTTAATCTTTTTAAAGAGTGCTGCACGATGGGATATTGGTGTTGAGTGGGGTAAGGGTGATTAGGTTTGAATGGGATGGTAATGGGCATATGATCGGTTGCCAGGGAAGGAATAGAGATGTCCCATACTTGTGGGTTAAGGTGGGGGGATATGAGAGGAAGATGTGAAGGACGCTTTGGGTTGGGGAGAAGGGCGGCAATGAGATGTGGCTGTAGTCGAGGAATAGTCAGGGAAGCAGATAATTTAGTTAAAGTGTCTCGGCCTAATAAGGGAACTGGGCAGGTGGGGATAACTAAAAAGGAGTGCTTAAAGGAGTATTGTCTAAGTTGGCACTAGAGTTGGGGAGTTTTAAGAGGTTTAGAAGCCTGGCCGTCAATACCCACAACAGTTATGGAGGCAAGGGAAACAGGCCCTTGAAAAGAAGTTAATGTGGAGTGGGTAGCCTCTGTATTGATTAAGAAGGGGACGGGCTTACCTTCCACTGTGAGAGTTACCCAAAGCTCGGCATCCGTGATGGTTTAGGGGGCTTCCGAGGCGATCGGGCAGTGTCAGTCTTCAGCCGCTAAGCCGAGAAGATCTGGGAAGGAGTCAGTCAGAGAGCCTTGGGCCAGAGTTCCAGGGGCTCTGGGAGTGGCTGCCAGGTGAGTTGAACAGCCGATTTTCAGTGGGGTCCCACATAGATGGGACATGGCTTAGGAGGAATCCTGGGCTGCGGGCATTCCTTGGCCCAGTGGCCAGATTTCCAGCACGTGTAGCAAGCTCCTGTGGGAGGAGGTTCTGGAGGAACTCCTGGCTGCTGCGGTTCAGGCGTTTGGAAGTTCTTGTGTGCTGGAGATGTGGCTGGGGTTTGTCTCACAGTGGAGGCAAGGAATTGCAACTTTTTTCTGTTATTGTACACCTTGAAGGTGAGGTTAATTAAGTCCTGTTGTGGGGTTTGAGGGCCAGATTCCAATTTTTGGAGTTTAATGTCGGAAGCAGATTGGGTAATAAAATGTATTTTGAGAATAAGATGGCCTTTTGACCTTTTAGGGTCTAGGGTTGTAAATTGTCTCAGGGTTGCTGCCAAATGAGCCATGAACTGGGCTGGGTTTTTATATTTGATGAAAAAGAGCCTAAACGCTTCTGATTTGGGATAAAGAAAAAGGAGCATTAACCTTGAGTATGCCTTTGGCTCCAGCCACCTTTTTAAGAGTAAATTGCTGGGCAGGTGGGGGAGGTCTAGTCACCGAACGAAACTGTAAGCCGGACCAGGTGTGAGGAGGGGAGGTGATAAAAAGATTATAGGGTGGAGGAGCAGAGGCTGAGGAAGAATTGGGACCTAGCTCGGCCTGGCGAGGAGCAGCCTGGGGAGGAAGGGAGAGGTCAGATGGGTCTGTAGGAAAGGAAGATTAGAAAGACTCAGTGACGCTTGGGGTTGGTACTGAGGGGACAGGTGGGAGGGAAAGAAGGAAGATTTGGGATGAGTTGCACTGGGCACAGAGACTAGGAAGGGACTGATGTGTAAAAGAATGCCTGGATGTCAGGCACCTCAGACCATTTGCCTATTTTACGACAAGATTATTTAGATTTTGCAGGATGGAAAAATTCAAAGTGCCATTTTCTGGCTATTTGGAACTACTGTCGAGTTTGTATTGGGGTCAAGCGGCATTGCAGAAGAAAATAAGGCATTTAGGTTTTAGGTCAGGTGTGAGTTGAAGAGGTTTTAAGTTTTTGAGAACACAGGCCAAGGGAGTAGATGGAGGAATGGAGGGTGGAAGGTTGCCCACAGTGAAGGAAGCAATCCTAGAGAAAAGAGAGAGTAGAGAAACAAAGGGAAGGAGTTCGGGGGTTCTTACCTTCCAGAAAAGTGGGAAGAGGGGTTGGGTCACAGAGATAAGAGGTCGGGGTGCGGAAATAAGGGATTGGGGTGCAGATATATAAGAGGTTGGGGCGCGGAAATAAGGGATTGGGGCGCAGAGATATGAGGTCGGGGCATGGAAATAAGGGATTGGGACACAGAGATAAGAGGTCGGGGTGTGGAAATAAGGGATTGGGGCACAGAGATAAGAGGTCAGGGTGCGGAAATAAGGGATTGGGGTGCAGAGATAAGAGGTTGGAGTGCAGAAATAAGGGATTGGGGCACAGAGATAAGAGGTCAGGGTGCGGAAATAAGGGATTGGGGTGCAGAGATAAGAGGTTGGAGTGCAGAAATAAGGGATTGGGGCACAGAGATAAGAGGTTGGGGCATGGAAATAAGGGATTGGGGCACAGAGATAAGAAGTTGGGACATGGAAATAAGGGATTGGGGGTTCTTGCCCCGTAGAAAAGCGGGACTTGCCACTAAGGGTGAAGGAGAAGGGGTTGGGGGTACTTGCCCCTCTCCCAGAAAAGCGGGACTTGCCGCTAAGGGTGAAGGAGAAGGGGTTGAGGGGTACTTGCCCCTGCCCCAGAAAAGCGGGACTTGCCACTAAGCTTGAAGGAGAAGGGGTTGAGGGGTACTTGCCCCTTCCCCAGAAAAGCGGGACTTGCTGCTAAGGGTGAAGGACCAAGGCAGGCGTCCCTGCGTGGTCTGACACCCTTGAAACGTGGGTGTATAATCAGAGAGGCATCCCTGCAATGATTAAACACCAAGGGAAGGCTGCCTTCCCAGTCCATGACCAGCGCCGGAGTTTTGGGTCCATGGATAAAACGTGTCTCCTTTGCCTCTACCAGAAAATGAAAGGAATTGAAATTAAGAGAAGGGAGAGATTGAAGAGTGGAAAGGAGAAAGTGGTTGAGGGACAGTGAGAGAGGTTGGAGAAGAGAGTAAGAAGAGGCCGCTTACCTGATTTAAAATTGGTGAGATGTTCCTTGGGCTGGTCGGTCTGAGGACCTGAGGTCATAGGTGGATCTTTCTCACGGAGCAAAGAACAGGAGTACAGGGG
This sequence comes from Homo sapiens, assembly GCF_000001405.40. Classification (NCBI taxonomy): domain Eukaryota; kingdom Metazoa; phylum Chordata; class Mammalia; order Primates; family Hominidae; genus Homo; species Homo sapiens. The sequence goes on along the minus strand of NC_000009.12, from coordinate 99,670,279 downwards.
ATTGATCTCCCAAGGGAGGTCCCCCGATCCAAGTCACGGCACCAAATTTCATGTGCATCCGTGTGAAGAGACCACCAAACAGGCTTTGTGTGAGCAACATGGCTGTTTATTTCACCTGGGTGCAGGCGGGCTGAGTCTGAAAAGAGAGTCAGCGAGGGGAGATAAGGGTGGGGCCGTTTTATAGGATTTGGGTAGGTAAAGGAAAATTACAGTCACAGGGGGTTTGTTCTCTGGCGGGCAGGAGTGGGGGTCGCAAGGTGCTCAGCGGGGGTGCTTTTTGAGCCAGGATGAGCCAGGAAAAGGACTTTCACGAGGTAATGTCATCGCTTAAGGCAAGGACCGGCCATTTACACTTCTTTTGTGGTGGAATGTCATCAGTTAAGGTGGGGCAGGGCATATTCACTTCTTTTGTGATTCTTCAGTTACTTCAGGCCATCTGGGCATATACGTGCAAGTCACAGGGGATGCGATGGCTTGGCTTGGGCTCAGAGGCCTGACAGAAACAACTTTACATTCCAGGAATAAATCCCAACTTGTCATGGTGTGTAATCTTTTTAACTGCTGCATTCAGCTTGCTATATTTCATTGAAGATTTTTTGATCAGTGTTCATGGAATTGTCTCTTACTTGATTTTTTCTGCTTAATTATATCTCTTACTTAATTTTTTCTGCTAAATTGTATAACTCAGATTTTTATGTAGTAAGTGCTAAGTAAGTTTGTGTTGAGTCTGTGGTGTCAATAGCATTGACAGCCTTGAGCTTATAGGAATCAGAAAGGTACTGTGGTGGTGAAAGAGACCAAATTGTCTATTGACAAGACCATCTTCCACCAGATGCATATAATATCTGCACCAGAAGGAAGGGGAACCAAATTTTATGTTTAACACTGACAGCAGTGTAGTATCCAAGATGCCAAATTGGGTAAAAGGCAGAACCAAACAATCAGAATTTAGATATAAATATTCCCCATCCAGAGAGCAAGTCATTCATCCTTCTTATTGGGAGTGGAATGCCCTGAGTATATTAATAAATTGTGGCTATTTTCTGGTTCTTGCATCAATCTGTAAACCAAAAGTAAAGTTCTAGGCACCCCAATCAATTGAATAGATCCACCTCTTGGCCAAGGGGACCCCAAAGAAACCTGAAAAGCTAGTTCAGGCCATGACAGGAAGTAAGGGTCAGACATGCCTCATTATACTTTCCATCCTTTGGAGTTTAGACATAACTAGACAGTGTTAACATTAAAGCAGAGATGTTAAGACTGACAAAACAGACTCTTAGTTGCAATAAGATACCAAATTCCAACCTTACTCTGGTATAGCATCATATGAAAGATAACAGGCCCTGAAGGAAATCAAAGTATTTTACCCTTAAATATGTTTATTTGACATATTCTGAAACGGCCCTGTAAAGCTGTCTCCTGTGGGAGAAATTTGCATTCTGTAGAAAATCTCCTTTCCTTACTAAGTATTTTTTCTGGAGAGTCTGACACCTTTTAAGTTCTGATAAGAGACATTCACCATTTATACTCTCTGAAGCCTGCTACCTGGAGTCTTCGTCTATATAACAAGCGCCTGGGCTTCCACAACCCTCTTATCTAAACTCATGTCTTTATGCTGAATTCAACTCTTCAGGCAGGGCTTAACTCTTTCAATGAATTGCCAATCAGGAAATCTCTGAATTCACCTATGAGCTGGAACCCCTGCACCACCCCCTCCAGTTCCCCTCCCCCACTTTGAGATGTCCTGCCTTTCTGAGCCAAACCCATGTATACCTTACATATATTGATTTATGTCTTTGCCTGTAACTTCTGTCTTGCTAAAATGTATAAAACCAAACTATAACTCAAGCAACTTGGCCACATGTTCTCAAGACCTCCTGAAGCTTTGTAACAGGCCATGGCCCTTAACCTTGGCAAAATAAACCTTTAAATTGATTGAGACATGTTTCAGATACTTTTACAAGTCTAATGAACTTCTACCCCACCTAAAATAAATTTCTGGCTGTGCACGGTGGCTTAAGCCTGTAATCCCAGCACTTTGGGAGGCCGAGGTGGGCGGATCATGAGGTCAGGAGATCGATACTTTTACAAGTCTAATGAACTTCTACCCCACCTAAAATAAATTTCTGGTTGGGCGTGGTGGCTCAAGCCTGTAATCCCAGCACTTTGGGAGGCCGAGGTGGGCGGATCACGAGGTCAGGAGATCGAGACCATCCTGGCTAACCCGGTGAAATCCCGTCTCTACTAAAAAAAAATACAAAAAATTAGCCGGGTGTGGTTGTGGGCACCTGTAGTCCCAGCTACTCAGAAGGCTGAGGCAAGAGAATGGCAGGAACCCGGGAGGCGGAGCTTGCAGTGAGCCGAGATTGCGCCACTGCACTCCAGCCTGGGCAACAGAGTGAGACTCCGTCTCAAAAAAAAAAAATAAAATAAATAAATTTCTGAGAGGTAATGATTAAAATGAAAAACAGTGCCATCATAATGGTATGGCAGAAAATTTGGGTGAATATTTATACAATGCTGGATGTGAGAAAGCCTTCCTAACCATGATGCCAAAAATAAAAATAGAAATCATAAAGGAAAAATTGGCTACGCTCAACCAAATAAAAATTAGCAATCTCTATCCTACCCAAAGTGATGTTAACAAAATAAAAAGGCAAAAGGTAAAATGGGAAAAAAATATTTGCAACATATATGATAGTCAAAATGATAAAATCATTAATTTATAAAAAAATTCATAAATCAAAATGGGCAAGTTATAAAAGAAGAAATATAAAGACCAATAATCGTATGAAAAATAAAATCTAATTCTATAATTAAGAGATTCAAAGAGAAAGAAAGAGATGTGATTTTCTAACAATTACAAATGAAGAAAATAATCTAGCATTGGAGAGTGTTTGGAAAGACACTTATACCCCATTAGTAGGAATGTAAATTGGTACTAGCTTATGAAGGCCAATCCAGAAATACATATTAGAAGTCTTTTTAAAAAGTGTACCACCTTTAATCTAGTAATTATACTTAAGAAAATATATTTCAAAGAAATAATAATAATATCTGCAAAGAAGTGGTTGGAAGAATGTTCATTAAAAATATTTAAAATAGCCAAGAGATTTAGAAACGTAAATGTCTAGAAATAGGAAGTTATTTAAATAAATTATTTAATACTCATATAATGGGATATAATGTGATTATTAAATCTAAATTATAGTTGAATATTGTTGGAAGTGGCTTTTGCTGGAATTAATGGTGGTGTTCTGAAGTCACCATTACATGGCAAGGATAAAATCTGCTCTGGTTAATATTTCTTACCTTTCATTCTCCAGAATCAGACACTGCTATGGTCTTGTATCATCTTGCACATCTCAAGATCACCAAAATGCTGATGTTTACTTTCCTTTTTCTTAGAACTTTTGACTTCCACCTTTCCTGAAGTTTGCATAAAGATTTTATGCCTGTTAGTATCTGTTTGATGTTTTTTCATGCTTTCTGTTTTTACCACATGGGCTCTGACCTCTAAATATTGGCAGGCTTCCAAGTTCAGTTCTTGGACCTGTTTGTTTTTTTTTAATCTGCACTTACTATCTGAGTTATCTCTTCTAGTCTACAGCTGTCAATACCACCTATATCAAGCTTGTCCAACCCATAGCCCATGGGCTGCATGTGGCCCAGGACATCTTTGAATGTGGCCCAACACAAATTCACAGACTTTCTTAAAACATTATGAGATTTTTGGCCGGGCACAGGGGCTCATGCCTGTAATCTCAGCACTTTTGGAGGCTGAGGCAGGTGGATCACGAGGTCAAGAGATCAAGACCATCCTAGGCAACATGGCGAAACCCCGTCTCCATTAAAAATACAAAAGTTAGCTGGGTGTGGTGGCATGCGCCTGTAGTCCCAGCTACTAAGGAGGCTGAGGCAGGAGAATTGCTTGAACCTGGGAGGCGGAGGTTGTGGTGAGCCAAGATGACAAACTCCAGCCTGGGCGACAGAGCGAGACTCCGTCTAAAATAAAATAAAATAAAAAACCTAAACATTATGGATTTTTTTTGGTGATTTTTTTGCGAGCTCAATTAGCTAACATTAGTGTTAGTGTATTTTATATGTGGCCCAAGACAATTTTTCTTCTTCTAATGTGGCCCAGGGAAGCTAAAAGATTGGACTCCCCTGATCTATATGCTGATAGCTCTCAACTTTCTAACCTAAACTCCCCAAGGTGCAGACTAAACAGATCCATCTATTTATTCAACAGCTCCTCTTTGATGGCTAATCAACTCTAACGTCCAAAGCTGAATTCCTAATTTCCTCCACTACAAACCTACTCTTTTTACAGTGCTCCCCTTTCAGCACATGATAACTCTGTTCTTTCAGTTTCCAGGGCCAAAAATTTTGGTGACATCCTTAACTCTTCTCTTTCTTACAACACGTATCAAAACTCTCACCATATCCTGAGGCTGCTTTTTCAAAATCTATATAGGATCTGGCTGCCTCTTACCCCCTACATGGCTCCAAGCCATCATTTCCTGGATTTTTCCAGCCTCCTAGTTGGTCTTCATGCTTCTACTTTTGCCCTCTGTAATCTACTCTCAACAAAGGGGTCCTTCAAAAACCCAAGTCATATGATGTCACTCTCATGCTCAGTACTCACCAATAGTTTCCACCTCCCTCAGATAAAAATTTAAGACATTCAATGATATGCAAGGTCCTATGTGATCTTGCTTCCAGCTACCTTTATGACCTCATCTTCTATTACTTTTTTCTTCACTCTGTTCCACCCACATTGGCCTCCATACTGGATCAGCATGTCACTCCATACTGTGTCCGGAACATGCCCAAGTACTTTCCTGCCTCGGGGCTACTGCCTGGAATGCTCTTCCCTTAATACACGTGAGACTCCCTCCTTCCCTACTTCAGGTCTTTGCTCTAAAGCCATCCTTTTTATTTAGGACTTTCCTGACCATGCTATTTAAAATTACAATCCCCTTTCCTCCTTCATGTCTTCACTTATCCTCCTTTATTACTTTCATTCCTGCCACAGCATCTATCACCATACAACCAACTTAGTTTTTATTGTCTGTTTCCTACAACAAGAATTAAAGCTTCATGAAGACAGATATTTTTCATCTTTTGCTTACTGCTTTATCCCAGTTGTTGAGTACGGTGCCTGGCACATGGTAGATACTCAATAAATATTTGTTTTTAAATGAATCTACAGATATTACATCTAAGGAACTACTGAGATGTTCCCCTTGGTGCTAAGATGATGAATAAACCTGAGACACTTGGAAACTTCTAAGCTCTTATGGAATGAATGATGGTTATAATATCATTAGATGCCCAGACATTACAAGGGAAGGGTAAGATGAGACCTCTGAGGCTCAGTTAGGATAACAGATGTTTCTTCACTCTCTTTTGATTATGTTCCTGTCACTTGACATGGGATATAGCTTGTTATGATGATGGAGGGAAGAGTGCTGAAACTGGGAGAGGACTGTGAAATATTATAATGGGAGACAGTTCAAATATCCCACTTAGAATTAGTGGGAGGCATTCATGGAGTAATGATATTATCTCATTATCTAAATCTCCTAAGACTGTAAGTATCCTGCCAGTTTCTATTTTATTTACATAACTCAATACTTCAGGCTGTTATAGGAAGTTTCTGACTCTAGCAAGAAATATAAATTGACAGGGGAATATATTCATTATATATTGAATTTTAAAAGAAGATTATAAAATACCGTAAAGATGGAGATTTTGTTTAGTTAGGAAAAGACCCATGCTTTCTATCATGTGTCTAATGATACATCTGACAAGTTAATGTAATAGAAGGGGACACACACACACACACACACACACACATGTACACACATGCTTAGGTCCTAATCATGACTATATCTGGCTGTTGGGACTGTATTTTTATTTCTTTTCTTTTTGCTTATCTAATATCTCTACCTTCTGATTTTCTATGGTGATTATACTGTGCTTGTATAATCAAAATAAAGAGTGAATATGTTTGTGGGGTTATTAGGCTGTTGAGGGCATGAGATACTCTAGGCAACGATCATGGAGTCTCAGTGTTGGAAGTGACTTTTAGGTTATAAGGCCAACCTTGTCCATGTCCTTGCCAAGTGGTTCTCTATTTGTGCACCTCTAGTGGCAGAAAGCTCACTGCCTCCTGAGGCAGCCCACTCCATATGTCTGCATATGACTTCTACACATGAAGTTCTGCTCTTGGAAGTAATAGATTCTGGATTTTTGCAATAGCCTCCTAATTGGTCTTCCTGTTTCCATTCTTGCCCCTCTGTAATCTCTCTTCAACAAAGTTGTCTTCCAAAAAAAGATCATGAAGGTTGTAGTTTCTGATTTATATGTATGTATATACAGTTTCAGTCTACTGTAAAGGGAAGAGAAAGAAAGAAAACAGAGGATATGAATCTAGGGACTATGCTTAAGGAAAACATATAAAGGCTTTATTGGTGCTAGAAGCATCACCAGTATAAATAAAACATATGCTGCTTCTTTGAATTTTTATAGATGTAACTTTAATGTAATGAGATTAAATTATCTTCTGTGGAAGGGACATTATGGTAGGCACTGTTGGTGAAGATAGAAAGCAAAAGATAGAAGAGGAATTCAAGGTATGAATTTCTTTCTCTCATGACACACACTGTCCAGTTAGGGAGAGCCTGAAACAGATTATATAAAACATCCTGAGAGCCGACACAATGTACCATAAAATGAACCATAGACAAGGGGCATCAGATGACTGGTAAATTAAGGGAAGATGAGAGTGCACTGGTGCTGCAATTCCATTCAATAATTTTTTTTGAATATCTCTGTTCTGAAAATGACTGTGCTGATTTCTGTGGAAATATACAAAAAGAATAAAGCATTGAGCTTACCCTCAATGTCTGTGGTTCAGTGGCATTCAAGATTAGTGATAGGAGTTTTTAAAGACTTGGGCAAATGTTCTAGACAGTGTTAAACTAAAAAATAGCATACAAAATTACACGGTCAGTATGATTTTAACTGTGTAAAAAGTACCCAGAAGAACATTAGGAGAAAATATGCTGAAATGTTAACAATTTTTAAAAAAGTCAATCATGTCAGGGTGGAATTATGGTGATTTTACCTCCCCCCACCTTTAAACAGTTAACTCTTGAAGAACACAGGTCTGAACTGCATGGGTCCACTTACATGTGGATTTTTTTTCCACTTCTGCCACCCATGAAACAGCAAGACTGACCCCTCTTCTTCCTCCTCCTTTTCAACCTACTTAACAAGAAGATGATGAGGATGAAGACCTTTATGAAGATCCACTTCCACTTAATGAATAGTACGTATATTGTTTTCCTTATGATTTTCTTCATAATGTGTTCTCTCTAACTTAATTATAAGAATTCAGTATATAATACACACAAAATGAAAAATATATGTTAATTAACTGTTTATGTTATCAGTAAGGCTCTGGTCAACATAGTTAACCCAGCTAAATTTTGGGGGAGGCCAAAGTTATATGTGGCTTTTTGACTGTATGGGGATGTCAGCACCCCTAACTCCCACATTGTTCAAGGGTATTTTTATGTGCTTACCCATTTTCCATCATAAAATGCATTGTCCTGTTTTATAATCATTAAAAAAAATAGTTAATTCCACCAATTTTACCGATATTCTGGTCTTGCAGGATAATAGAGACTTTATCCTAAAGCTTGAGGTCAGTTCTTAGCTGTTATTCTACTGACCGTCATAGCTTTTAACCACCTACTATTTCTTAACACATCCTTGACTGCCATGGATTTGCACTTTTGTTGTTCTTTCACATCTCGTATTTCTCTTTCTCCCTGTATATGTCCTAATTTTGTGTTTCTAAGGCTTCATCTTTACCCTTCCCTCTCTTGGGGACTACTCTGTACATAGGCTAGGGGATCTCAAGTGTACCATCTGTGACCTTGGCAGCAAGTCCAATCCCTGAATCATGACACACAAGTCGTGGCCTCTTTAAGGAGCATCAGGAGCCAAGGTGGTCCTCTGTAACACACGTGTGCTCTGGCCTTTCCACATCAGAGTATTTTGAAAGATAATGTAGGGCCAAGTGAAGAGATGGGACTGGTCTTAACTTCTCTGAGCCTCTGTTTCCTCATCTGTAAAATTGTATGTAGGGTTAGGATGAAACTGCAAAGAGTTAAAATATTTAAAGTGCCCAGTGTGGTACCCACATGCAACAGCTGCTCCAGGAATGTTCTTTCCCTTCCTTTTCCCCTTCCTCCATTTCTACCATCTGCCAGGATATGAGATTGACGATCTTCAGGGCATATTGTCTGTGGCTTTTATTATATACATCTATTAAAGATCCAGTTAATCTATTTTGGTTGCCATCAAAGCAAAGGATTACCATCAAAATGTCTATTTATGCAAACAGAATGGAGTAGTTTATTGATCCGCCAATTAGTAGTGTTCTACTATTTTAGTCTAGTCTTAGCTTTTGGGAGTTTCTCCTGCAGTTAGCAGAATGTCAGTGAATAAACAAATAAAATACATGTATTGTGTGGGATTAAAACAGTAGCAAAAGGGATTATTGAAATTACTCAGTCCCACTTTTATGGTTTTTCTAATGCTTGTTTTAGCTGTTTTTATCTAAACAGCTGTTTTAGCTGTTTGAGGGAAGTGAAGTCCTGGAATCTCTCTGCCTCAACAATGTACACTAGAGTATTGAAAACAATTATGATTTATCTTGCCAGAAGATACTTTTCTTTTCCCACCTTGATAACCCTTGGTGTTAAAGTGAGAGACAATATGGTATAGTGGAGAGTGTTTTAGACTCAGATTTGCATTTAGGCTTCATAAGAGTGGGAAATCATTCCTTTTTCATACAGCTAGTATGATAATTAAGTCAGTTAACACCTATGGTAGCTTTTTTTTTTAAGTACTAGCAATATAAGCCATTATTATTTCTTAGGCTGATGCAACAAATAATCCAGAAATATCTGACTCTAGTCTTTCTTGATGTAGTTAAATATTTATTTTGTTTTCCATGGTGTTTGCCCTTTAAGCAATAACAATAAAAGAAAAAGAGATAATTATCTTTAAGAGAAATTAGCATCCAAAACGCCTCAGCTACTATATCTTTTGTCACTTAGCTAGTGCATGGCTTACAGTGGATGTTCAATACATGTTGAGCATCCACTGTTGAATGAGGAATGAATGGAATAGATTTATCCCACCCTTAAGATAGAAGGATAGTCATGGTGACTTTTTAGCAGAGAGAACCACAATTCGCTGACCACTCTTAAAAAGCATCTGTGAAGCCGTGATCAACTAGGGCTAGGGCTCTCCATACACTGTGTATGATATATGTTATTAGGTTTCAGATTGGCTTGTATTAGTTCTAACCAATCGGTACATTTTAATTAATGAAGTTTAACATTTGTTGAGTACTTTGTAGTTCATGAAGCACTTTCGTGTCAATATGTCCTAGAATATTATGGAGTCTTACTGATCCTATATAACATAGATGAGGAAATAAAATTTAAAGAAATTAAGTAACTTGTTTAAGGTAACATAGAAAGCGAGAAGCAGAATCTTGCTGTGAACTCAGGTCATCTGGGTCCAAGCTCAGGGCACCATGACCTGAGACTCCTGCCCTGGCCGCTGCTACTGTGGTGCTTAAGCGTTTTGCCTCTGAGTTTCTGCAGTGCCTAGGATGAGATACTGGGAGGCAATTTGGTTTTGGAGGTGCGGAGGGGGAAGCTGGCTGTTCCACAGTTGCTTGCTGAGCCATCTGCTCTCTCTTCCTCTTCAGAAATGATGCATTTGTTACTGTGGGCTGCTTTTGCTGAATACTTGGATTATGTCACTTTCTCTGTTTGTCACATGTGGGGCATTTGGTGACATGCAACTCAGCCTACATTGGTTTTCCTACGTAATGTGATGGGTACAGGCACATTTGCTTTCATTTCAATGTCTGAACAATTTTAATGCCATTTAGACAAGAGTCACATGTCTGTGCAACAATAGAAGACTTCTCACTTTCAACTTCCTTTTTTTGTACAGTGCTAATAGAAATTGGGGGGAAAATTACATACACACATGTGCACACACATACGACACAAACAAACCAAAGGATCCTATCGATTAAGTTGGACACTGGTCAACTGTGTCATGGAGTTTTGTACTAGTAGCAGTACTTGTGTGTGCAGGTTTATCTGTTACAATTTAGTATCCAAATCTGTTCATGTTTAGTAATAATTATTAACAATTATCCTGGAATAATTTGTAAGTGAACCGGTGGTTGCAAGGCTTATGTGTGGGTGGGAGAATTAATTTTTATCTCTGTGGGAATATTTGGTAAGATGATTAGGAAGCAACAGACTTAGGTTAGTGCTGCTGCTGATTTGCTTTATGGCCTTGGGGAAGTGATTTCACCTCTTTAGGCCCAGTTATTCTGTCTATAAAATGATGAGTACAAAAGGTCTCTGATAATTCCAGCTCTGTGGATCTATAATTAATTGACCTTGTAATATATAGGAATTAGAGAAGACATACATGGGGTATATTTTCTGAGAATAGAGAAATGGCTTCAAACATTCTGTTTTTTTCTTTGTGAGTAGAAAGAAGAATTATAGGAGAGGTGTCAGGTTGCGCAGATATCTCTGAGCGTGGCTAGGGTATGGAGCTTATTGTTTAGATATAATGTCTATATAAGCAACATTTTGTCAAACAAAAGACTGAAAAATTCTTTTTTTTTCATTCATTTTCATTTCTGAGAATGTTGAGTGCCTTCATGGTTTATTAGGGTATTTAGAATCCCACAAAACTTGATGGGTGGTAACTTATCTCAAGTTGGATTTATTAAGTTCTTCGCTGTTCAAATATATAGTGAGTGCTTACTATGCACCAACCACTGTACTTGATGCTGGAGGTTCAAGGGTGAATTTAATTCATTATTTGACCTCAAGGGATTCCTAATCTGATGACAAAGGCAGGTCTGTAAACAGTACAAGTGCAATAACAAGAAGAATGTACAAATTAACATGGTTGGCAAGGAAGAAGGAGGAAGCAACCTGCTGGGAAAGACTGATGAAGAAAAGATAACACAAAGTAGATCTTAAATGATGGGAAGATTATTTCCAGGTGGAAGTAGTATACGAAGGACAGGCTAAGCCAAAGGAACAAGAGATAGGAAGATACAGAGGTGTGAAATGCATGTGCAATATTGGGCAGTAACAAATAGTGTAGTGTGGCTGGAGTATGCATGAAATGTAGGTTGACTAGGCTGGAGAGAGAGTTTAGAGCCCAAGTGTGAAGAACCTTGATGCCAGTCTAAAGAGTCTGAGTTTTGCTCTATTTCTGGCAAAGGACTTTAAACAGTAGAGTGGCATGAGTGGCTTTTAATGTACCAGTACTGCTTCATTACATACAAGATCTTGGCATGTTCACTGAAGAAGTCTAGGTCAAATGAATTACACCTAGAAGTTTGGTTTAGGTTCTGAATTTATTTTTTAATGGTCTCCTTTTAGGAAAACTGTCTAGGTGTTTTTGATATGCTCTTGCCAGTAAGCAGGGAGGGTCTTATTGGTGGTATCTGTCTGATGTGTCTGGACAGGAAAGGGGAATTTTGTTTTAACTAATGTAGTGGGAATAAGACAAATAAGGTGAGATAAAAAAGGTTCAAAGTCAAGGCAGGTCCTGCAGGAATTTCCTAAGCCAAACAACAGGCAGAGAGATAACAGCTTAGAAGAGGGCTACTGTTAAGTAGTAAGTTAAGGACTAATAATTATAGCCTCACAGTGAATAATATTTTGAATAGGATTCATCTGGAAGACCAGAAAATATGGTTCTCTCCGGCTGGTCATAGGTGAGAGAATAGGGAATCAGTTCTCAGTACTTTCAAGAGTATTGGGAGGTCTTCTGATCACCTATTCATTAGATCCGTGGCAGTTGCCTATGCCTTCTGGGTTGTGATCTTTTCATAGATGGTATGTGCAATTCACCACTAGGAGGGTTGGCTTCTGCCTTGAGTGAGCATAATTACTGTTATAGAAAATGTGATAGGTATATTTGTTGCTTCTGTCTACCCAGTACATCTTTCCCCTTCTAGTAAAGTTATCCCTTTTCCTTTGAGAAGTTGCCCCATATCTATTAAATAGTGAAGCTCAAAAACATTGTTTCTCTGCTTTTCTGGTCAAGGGATGAGCACAGAAATCAACATAGGCCAATCAGACTCTCTTTGGAATTCTGAATCTTGAGAGAAGTCTTCCAAGTATGGAATGCCGTTGGAGCTCAGTCAGCCCATTTGCAATGCCCTGCCAATGCGATGTTTGGAACTGTTTGGTTCTAATTCTCCCTGGTGGCCTGTGTGTTACTTGGTTCATTGAATCTATGATGCTTAACCAATTAATTACTTTTTCTTGCATGCCTAAGTGCTAGAAGTCGCTTTCTGAGCTTCTGACAAAAGAGTCTCAACTATTGCAGAAGTTGGTACCAGGAGTCCTTCAAGTCTTATACATTTTCCTTATAATTTATCCTACTCTTTTTAAAATAACTTTTGTAAGAAAACATAATAAAGGTATAAATTCAGCAATGCATTAATCAGTTTCTCTCTCTTTTTTTAAGAGCTCTTATCTCCATACTACATCAACAAAGAAATTTCCATCTTCCCTTCCTTTCCTTTCCCTTCTCTTCCTTTCCTGTCAGATAAACAGAAATTTGGGGTTTCAAGTTTGGGTCAAGAAAGTAGTTGTGACTGAGAAGGCAGCTACAGTTGGTAGAACCTTTGGGGTTGGGATGAAGAAGGAGGTCAGCATTGAGGAGATGGTCAAGACCCATGAGGACCTTGTAGTCCATGGGGCCTGCGGGGCACCGATCAGAGGTAATTGGGTGTAAGAAGGCCTTTTAGATTTTTGTTTGTTGCTAACTATGTATTATTTTAAAATACAGTTTCTATGTGGTGCTGGAATGCTATTGATTTTCATAGGATGGTCTTGTTTCTGACAGCCTTGCTGAGTACTATTTTTAATTCTAATAGTTTATCTATTTCATTCTGTCGTGGAAAGAGAACATACTTCATATTATTTCAATAATTTTAAGTTTATTGAGACTTTTTTTGTGGCCTTAAATATGGCCTGTCCTGGAGAATATTCCATATGGACTTGAGAAGAATGTGTATTCTGCTATTGTTGGGTGGAGTAGTCTGTTGATATCTGTTAGGTCTAGTTGTTTAATAGTATTGTTCAACGCTTTTTTCTCCAATTTAAAAAATTTTGGCAAAATACACATAACATAAAATTTACCATCATACTCTCTTTCCTTTTTGTTCTTATGTCTAGGTGTTGTATCCATTATTGAAAGTGAAATACTTAATTCTCCAACTAATAATGTTGAATCATCTATTTCTTCCTTCAATTTTGTCAGTTATTGCTTCATGTATTTTGTTGTTAGGTACATCTCTGTTTATAGTTACTATGTCTACCTGATGAATTGACCCTTTTCTCATTTAAAAACGTTTTACCTTGTCTCTATTAATTATTTTGTACTTAAAGCCTTTTTTTCTGGGATTAGAATAGTCACTTCAGCTCCATTTTGGTTACTGTTTGTATGGCATATCATTTTCTATCCTTTTCCTTTTAATCTATCTGTGTCTTTGAATCTATTCTGTATTTCTGATGGAAAGCATGTAGTTGGCTTATTTTGTTAAACCATTTTATCAATCTCTGCCTTTTGATTGGACTATTTAATCCATTTACTATAAATGTAATTGCTCATAAGGTAGGAGTTACATCTGGTATTTTGTTATTTGTTTTCCATATAACTTGTCTTTTTTGTTTCTCTGTTGTTCTATTACTTCCTTCTTTTGTGTTAAGTATTTTTTAGTGTACTATTTTAATTCACTTGTCATTTCTTTTGCTATATACTTTTTGAGTTATTTTCTTAGTTGTTGTCTGAGGATTATAATTAACTTTTTTTATTTAAAAAATTTTGATTAATGCATGATAATCATATATATTTATGGGGCACAGTGGTATTTTGATACATGCATACAATATATAATGATCAAATCAAGGTATTTAGGATATCCATCACCTCAACATTTATCATTTCTTTTTGTTAAGAACATTTAAAATTTCCCCTTCTAGCTATTTTGAAATATGTAATAAATTGTTGTTAACTGTAGTCACTCTGCTATACAGATATAACTGTATTATTTTGTCTATCTAAGTGTATGTTTGCACCCATTAACCAACCTCTCTTCATCCCCCACCTCTACCCTTCTCAGCCTCTGGTAACTATAATTCTACTCTCTATCTCTATGAGATCAACTTTTTTAGCTTCCACATATTAGTGTGAACATGCAATATTTGTCTTTCTGTGCCTGGCTTATTTCACTAACATAATGGCCTCCAATTCCATCCATGTTGCACAAATGACATGATTTTATTATTTTTATGACTGAATAATGTTCCATTGTGTATATATACCACATTTTCCTTATCTGTTTATTCATTGATGGACATTTAATTTTGTTCTATATCTTGGTTATTGTGAATAGCACTGCAATAAACATGGAGAAGGACATTTTAATTTATAACAATCTACTTTAGATTAATATCAATTTAATTTCAATTGCATACAATAATTTTCTGTTATATAGCTTTTTTCTCTCCTCCCTCCTTTGCCCTATTATTATCATACAAATTACATCTTTATACCCTATAAGCCAATGAACAGTTTTAAAATTACTACTTTATGTGAGTTTCTTTTAAATTAGAAGAAAAGAGTTACAAATGAAATGCATTTATACTATCTTTTATATTTACCTGTGCTCTTATTTCTTCTTGTGGGTACAGTCTAGTGTCCTATTATTTTAGTCTGAAGGACTGAATCCCTTTAGTATTTCTTGTAGGGTAATTCTGCTAGTGACAAGTTCTTTGTTTTTGTTTATCTGGGAATGTCTTAATGTCTCCTTCATTTTTGAAAGATAGTTTTGCTGCATATAGAATTATTGAGTTACAGTATTTTTTCTTGTAAATAATTAGGAGGACCTTCATAAGTATAAAATTAAACCTATGAGTCATTTAGGATAAGAATGTTAGTTCAAATGTGAATAGTTAACAGAAACAAAGTCAAAATCAATTAGAGTCTAGATAATAATTATAATTAATGGGGTAAAAGGATAATTCATTTTATTTATTTATTAAAATTTATTTTAGTGAACTATGTGCAGGTTTGAACCTGTGTGCAGAGTTACATGTACAAGTTTGTAACATAGGTACACTCATTTCACAGGGGTTTGATGTACAGATTATTTAATCACCCAGGTACAATGCCTAGTACCCAATAGATATTTTTTCTGCTCTTTTCCCTTCTGCCCTGCACCCTCTAGTAGGCCCCAGAGTCTGTTGTTCCCATCTTTGTATTCATGTGTTCTCATAATTTAGCTCCCACTTATAAATGAGAATATGTGGTATTTGGTTTTCTGTTCCTGCAGTAGTTTGCTAAGGATAATGGCCTCCGGCTCTATCCATGTTCCTGCAAGGGACATGTTTTTGTTCTTTTTTACAGCTGTAGTATTCCATGGTGTATATATACCACATTTTCTTTATCCAGTCTACAATCGATGGGCCTTTAGGTGGATTCTATGTCTCGGCTATTGTGAATAGTGCTGTCATGAACATACATGTGCATATGTATTTATGGTAGGATGATTTATAATTTTTTGGGGTGTATACTCAGTAATGGGGTTGCTGGGTTGAATGGTAGTTCTGTTTTTAGCTGTTTGAGAAATCACCATAGTGCTTTCAACAATGGTTGAACTAATTTTCACTTCTACCAACAATGTATAAGAGTGCCCTTTTCTCCACAACCTCAACAGCATCTGTTATTCTTTGACTTTTTAGTAATAGTCATTCTGACTGGTGTGAGATGGTATCTCATTGTGGTTTTGATTTTTAGCATTTTTTCACATGCTTGTTGGCCACATTTGTGTCTCCTTTTGAAAAGTGTCTGTTCATGTACTTTGCCCACTTTTTAATGGGGTTGTTTTTTTCTTGCAAATTTGCTTAAGATCCTTATAGATGCTGGATATTAGATCTCTGTCAGGTGCATAGTTTGCAAATATTTTCTCCCATTCAGTAGGTTGTCTGTTTACTCAGTTGATAGTTTCTTTTGCGGTGCAGAAGCTCTTAAGTTTAATTATATCCCATTTGTCAATTTTTGCTTTTCTTATGATTGCTTTTAGCATTTTTGTCATTAAATCTTTGCCCATTCCTGTGTCCAGAATGGTACTGCCTAGGTTGTCTTCCAGGGTTTTTATAGTTTTCAGTTTTACATTTAAGTCTTTAATCTATTTTGAGTTGATTTTTGTACATGGTTTATGGAAGGGATCCGATTTTAGTCTTCTGCATATGTCTAGCCAGTTATCCCAGCACCATATATTGAATGGGTAGTTCTTTCCTTATTGCTTGTTTTTGTCAGCTTTGTTGAGGATCAGAGACTGTAGGTGTATGACCTTATTTCTGGGCTCTCTATTCTGTTCCATTGGTCTATGTGTCTGTTTTTGTACCAGTACCACACTGCGTTGGTTACTATAGCCCTGGAGTATAGTTTGAAGTCAGATAACATGATGCCTTCCGCTTTGTTCTTTTTGCTTAAGATTGCCTTGGCAGTTCAATTTTGGAGCTCATTATTGGTCTGTTCAGGGATTCAATTTATTTCTGGTTCAATCTTGGGAGGGTGTATGTGTCTAGGAATTTATCCATCTCTTCTATGTTTTGTAGTTTGTGTGCATAGAGGTGTTCATAGGCGTCTCTGATGGTTATTTGTATTTCTGTGGGGTCACTGGTAATATTCCCTTTGTCATTTCTAATTGTGTTTATTATTTGTATCTTCTCTCTTCTCTAATATATTCTAGGGAGTGGTCTACCTATCTTATTATTTTTTCAAAAAACCAGCTCCTGGATTCATTGACCTTCTGAATGATTTTTTGTGTCTCAATCTCTTTCACTTCAGCTCTGATTTTGGTTATTTCTTGTCTTCTATTAGCTTTGGGGTTGGTTTGCTCTTGCTTCTCTAGTTCTTTTAGTTGTGATGTTAGGTTGTTGATTTGACATCTTTCTAACTTTTCGGTGTGAGCATTTAGTGCTATAAATTTCCCTCTTACCACTACCTTGGCTGTGTCCCAGAGATTCTGGTATATTGTATCTTTGTTTTCATTTGTTTCAAAGAACTTCTTGATTTCTGTCTTAATTTCATTTATTTACCCCAAAGTCATTCCGGAGCCCGTTGTTTAATTTCTATGTAGTTGTATGGTTTTGAGTGATTTTTTTAGTCTTGATTTCTATTTTTATTGCACTCTGGTCTGAGAGAGTGGTATAATTTTAGTTCTTTTGCATTTGCTGAGGAGTGTTTTATGTCCCAGCGTGTGGTCAATTTTAGAGTATGTGCCATATGCAGATGAGAAAAATGTATATTCTGCTGTTTTGGGGTGGAGAGTTCTGTAAAGGTCTATGAGATCCATTTGGTCCAATGTTGAATTCAGGTCTTGAATGTCTTTGTTAATTTTCTGCCTCAATGATCTGTCTAATACTGTCAGTGGAGTGATGGTCTCCCATTATTATTGTGTGGGAGTCTAGGTCTCTTTGAAGGTCTCTAAGGACTTGCTTTATGAATCTGAATACTCCTGGGTTGGGTGCATGTATATTAAGACAGTTAAGTCTTCTCATTGAATTGAACCCTTTACCATTATGTAATATCCTTCTTTGTCTTTTTTGATCTTTGTTGGTTTAAATTCTGTTTTGTGTGAAAAAGAAGGATTGAAAACCCTCCTTTTTCTGTTTTCCATTTGCTTGGTAGATTTTTCTCTATTTGTTTTGAGCCTATGGGTGTCATTGCTTGTGAGATGGTTTTCTCAAAGACAGCATACCAATGGGCCTTGGTTCCTTATCCAGCTTGTTACTATGTGCCTTTTAACTGGGGCATTTAGCCCCTTTACACTCAAGGTTAGTACTGACGTGTGGATTTGATCCTGTCATCATGATGTTAGCTAGCTATTATGCAGACTTGTTTGTGTGGTTGCTTTATAGTGTCACTAGTCTATGTACTTAAGTGTGTTTTTGTAGTGGCTGGTAACAATCTTTCCTTTCCATGTTTAGCACTTCCTTCCAAAGCTCTTGTAAGGCAGATCTCATGGTAATGAAATTCCTCAGCATTTGCTTGTCTGAAAAGGGTCTTATTTCTCCTTCATTTCTGAAGCTTAGTTTGGCCAGATATGAAATTCGGGGTTGGAATTTCTTTTCTTTAAGAATGTTGAATATTGGCTCTCAATCTCTTCTGGCTTGTAGGGTTTCTGCTGAGAAGTCTGCTGTTAATCTGATGGGCTTTCCTTTGTAGATGACCTGACCTTTATCTCTAGCTGCCTTTAACATTTTTTCTTCATTTTAACCTTGGAGAATCTGATGTGTCTTGGGAATGATACTTTTGTGGAGTATCTTACTGGGGTTCTCTGGATTTCTTGAATTTGAATATTGGCCTCTCTAGCTAAGTTGGGGAAGTTCTCATGGGTGATATCCTGGAGTATGTTTTCCAGGTTGCTTACACTCTCTCCAACTCTTTCAGGGACACCAATATAACCCCATATTTCTCGGAGGTTTTGTTTATTCCTTTTCATTCCTTTTTTTTTTTTATTCTTGCCTGACTGTCTTATTTCAGAAAGCCTGCCTTAAAGCTCTGAGATTCTTTCCTCAACTTCGTCTAGTCTGCTGTTAATACTTGCAGTTGCATTATAAAATTCTTGTAGTGTGTTTTTCAGCTATATCAAGTCAGTTATCTTCTTTTCTATACTGGCTATTTTGTCTGTCAGCTCCTGTGTTGTTTTATTGTGATTCTTAGCTTCCTTGGATTAGGTTTCAGCATACTCCTGCATCTCAATGATTTTCATCCCTATCCATATTTTGAATTATATTTTTGTCATTTCAGTCATCTCAGCCCAGTTCAGAGTCCTTGCTGGAGATGTAATGCAGTCATTTTGAGGAAAGAAGACACTCTGGCTTTTTGAGTTGTCAGAGTTCTTGCCTGGTTCTTTCTCACCTTTATGGGTTGATATTCCTTCAATCTTTGAAGTTGCTGTCCTTTAGATGGAGTTTTTTTTTTTTTTTCTTGTATCCTATTTGATAACCTTAGGGTTTGATTGTGGTATAAGGTGAGTTCAATTGACTGGCTTTGTTTCTGAAAGATTTTAGGGGGCCAAGTTTGAGCTCAAGACTTCTAGACTGCATGCTCTAACTCTGGGGGACTTGTGTCAGGCGCTGGCTTTATTCTGTAGCTCCTTGAGGTTAGGAACTGCTGCACTGGGGAAGCGGAGGTACTCCTAGCCTGCTGCTCACAACGCTCCCATAGGTGGTGCCAGCCAAGAGCTTTGTAGGGCAGCAGAAGCAGGATTCATCCTCCTTCACATGTGCTAGCAGCAGTGCAGCCAGGCACATGCTTGTCAGCTGTGGCAGGGTGCTAGTGGGTGCCAGGGTGCCAGCCTCTACATAGGCATTTGTAACAGTGGCAGTGGCAGTCTGGCTTGAGCGGGAGAGGAACCCCACCAACGACTGTGTGTATGTTTGCACTGGTGGTGGTGATAGCTCCGGGGCAGGGTGCTGGGGGGCTCAGGACTGTATATGCCTTCTGTGCACATTCTCATGGGTGCTGGTGGCTGCTCAAGGTGGGGGCTGGTCCATTGTTTTCTTTGCCTTGTTTCATGCTGGCAGGAGTGCCAATGCCAGGGGTGCTGGTGGGCTCCATGCCTGCCAACACCCAGACAACAATGGTGGTATGGGGGTGGGGCAGAAGGTGAGGTGCACTCATGCTGGCAGCAGTGGCATGGGGCAGGGTGCATGTGTACATGCTTTCTGGTGGGGCTGGTGGGGAAGGTAAGGCAAGGTCTGCCTGTGTACATAGTTGCCAGCAAAGCGATGTGGGGAGTGGCTGTGGGTGAGTGCATGCAGGTCAAGAGGCAAGAAGGAGGCTACAGTGGGAGGAGGGCATGGGTGAGCTGGCAATGTGTATGTGCAGGGCCGCTCTGCTGGAGGTCTCTGCTGGTCAGACCCAGTCTTCCAGGGCAGGAACTATGATGTGGGCCCCCAGAAGGTACCTGGAGGCTGTACTGCAAGAGACATGGTGGGGCTGGGGCCCCAGGAGAGGCCAGTAGACTGGAGGATTCACCAGTTGGATTGGCCCATCTCATTGGCAAGACTGCCCTGCAGAGTTTAGGTCCAATAGCTCGCCTAGGGTTAAAGTCTCCTATGGGAGCAAGTCAAGCCTAGGGGGATGGGTGTCCCTGGCTGTGTTCCACTACAGACAGTCCTGCACCAAACCCTCTGAGCTCTGTACAGGCTGGAGTTCTGCCTTTACCACTCCTCTAAGCAGCTCTTCTTGCCAACTTAAGTGTCTGCAATGGACAAGAGGTCCCCTCCTGCCAGGATTCCAGAGGCCCATGGTGAGAGTGCGTTGCTCCTTCCCTGTTCAACTCACCCTTTCTGCAGTTGTGGAGGGACAGGAACAAGTTCCAGGGCATATTAACCTTATGTAGGGTTCCCAGCTTTCTATGGCTTTAGCCTGTCATCTGTGTCCTTTCTCCATTCTCTCTCAATGCCTTCTGTCTGAAGATCTGTTAGGAGTACCTCAAGCTTCCTGATGTCACAGTCCTGCAGTGGAAAATGTTCCTTCTGGCTGCATCTAGTTAGCCATCTTGGACCAGCAATCAGTTTACAGTCTTTCTTTGAGTACTTCAAATATGTCATTTCATTGCCTTCTCTTCTCCTTAGTTTTTGAAGGTAAATCAATTGTTAATCTTATTGAGGATATCTTGAATGTGATATCTTCCCTCTTGCTGTTTTAAAGATGCTCTCTTTGTCTTTGACGTTTGACAGTTTGATTATGCTATGTCTTGGTGTGGATATCTTTGAGTGGATCATATTTGGAGTTTGCTGAGTTTCTTGGATGTTTAGATTGTTGTTTTTGACCTTTATTTCTCCAAATATTCTTTCTGCTTCTTTTTCTCTTTCTTTTTCTAAGACTAATTTTGTGTGTGTTGCTATGCTTGATGGTGTTCCACATGTCTCTGAAGATTTACTTATTTTTCTTCACTCTTTTTTCTTTCATTTCCTTAGATTAGATCATCTCAATTGATGAAACTTCAAATTCACTGATTATTTGTTCTGCTAACTCAAATGTATTGTTAAGACCCTTTAATGAAATTTTCTTTGAAGTTATTTTATTTTCCAATGCCAGAATTTCTATTTTTTTATGAAATTAACTTTTTAGAGTGGTTTTAGGTTCACAGAAAAATTGAGTTGAAGACCTAGAGATTACTCATATACCCCATATGCCACATCTATTTGTTTTAAAAAATAATTCATCATATTTCTTTATTGATATTCTCTCTTTGGGGAGGCATTTTCTCATACTTTCCTTTAGTTCTTTAGACATGGCTTTAAAAAATTCTTTAAACAGATTTACAATAACCAATGTAAAGTCTTTATCTAGAAAGTTCAATCCCTGAACTTCCTCAAGATAGTTTCTATTGACTGCTCTTTTATTCTCTCTGTGTATAGGCCATACTTTCTTTGAATGTTTCATAATTTTTTGTTGAGAACTGTACATGGATTTAAAATAATTTAACTCTGGGAATCAAATCCCACTCCCAAGTTTGTTGTTGCTCTTTGTTGTCATTGTTGCTGTTTGGTTGTTTATTGGCTTTCCTAAACTAATTCTGTAAAGCCTATATTCTGTCTTGTGTGTGACTACTGAAGTCTCTGCTTAGATAGCTTAATAAGTAGCTATTATTTGGACAGTACTTAAATAGCTTGTCAGTAATTTTTCCAGCCTTTGCTGAGGGACTCTGTGTGCTGCGCATCCCTTTAACATTCAGCCAGGCAATTTACAACTCTACCTTGGCCTTTACTTCCTGCTTATACAGAACCTCACGTTCAGGTTTGGAGGTGAAAGGTCAGGTCGTTTTTAGGTCTTTCCTGGGCATTGCTCTGTACATGCCTGTAGCTTTCTGGATTTTCAAGCATTCAGTTGGAGCTTTTCAAAGCCCTTATGGACATTTCATTCCTCAGATTTTACTTTTATGTTGTTTGGTCAGCTTTTTGTTTGCCCCAACTCTTCTCAATACTACAGTCAGCTGCAATGTTAAATGATGAATACTAAATGCTTCAGGAAAAGATTCTTCTCACTTACCAAATTCTGAATCATGTCAGATAAAGATGAGTTCAGCAAATGAAGTTTACCAAGGAAAGTGCTAGACACATCAAATAACAATTCCCTGGAGTTGGGCTTTTGGGCAGCTCCAAACCTGTTGGCACCCTCCAGTGCTGCTAGGATACTGATTTTCACAGTTACCATGATTGCCAGGCTATTGGTTTTCAAGACTACCATGGGAGAGGGAAATGTAAACAGGACAAGGGAAACACCACAAAACATACTGTTCATATTGAGGTTCAGCCAATTTTCTTTTCTTTTCTTTCTTCTTTTTGAGACAGGGTCTTGCTCTGTCTAGCAGGCTGGAGTGCAGTGGCACAATCATAGCTCACTGCAGCCTTGATCTCCCAGGCTCAAGCAGTTTTCCCAACTCAGCCTTTTGAGTAGCTGGGACCACAGGTGAGGATCACCATGCCTGGTGAACTTTTTAATTTTATGTAGAAACGGGGCCTCCCTATGTTGCCCAGGCTGGTCTTTCACTCCTGGCCTCAGGTCGTCCTCCTACCTCAGCCTCTCAAAGTGATGGGTTTAGAGGTGTGAGCCACTGCACCCAGCCCAGCTATTTTTCTTGAATAAATGATCCTTGGATTGTTGTAAGTCTTTGGTTACTCCCTAAAGTTCTAAAAAGTTTGATTTTTCACATTTTTTTCTGTTTGTTTGTTTGTTTTGTTGTTGTTGTTCTTGTTGCTTTTTCGAAGGAGCAAATTTTCAGACATCTTTGCTCAGTCATTCTTGAGATCAGTCTCTTCCAAATGCTGTAAAAAAATCCATTGATATATTCATATGATTTTTCTAATTTAATTACTTGGTATGGTGAATTACAATGACAGATTTTATTTTAATTCCTGTGGAAAAATCCATATGATCATGATGTAATTTTTAAGTGTATATTTTGAATTCAGTTAATATTCCATTTAGAATTTTGCATCTATATTTTCAGAGGTAGTGGGGCCAACAGTTTAATTTTTTGTTCTGATCTTATCCAGTTGTGAAAATTAGATTATATTAGTTTTAGAAAATGATTTAGACAGCTTTATCTCATTTTCTGTATTTTTGAAACAACCTGTGTAAGTTAGAAATTATCTATTCCTTGAAATTTTGGCAAAATGCACCCATAAAACCAACTGGGCCAGGCAACATTTGAGGGACGGGGATATGTCAATTTCATAATTGTTTTGATAAGATCTAAGTTTATTCCCCACTATTTTGTCATGTCTCCTTTTTTCCCTGTTTTTATGGCTCTCTGATCATCTTGTGTGGAAATCTAATTTTTGCACCCGAACAAAAATATCACACAAAATTTTCTAACAATGGCTTCTGTCTCTTGCGAAGATTATCTACAGAAAATTGCTTCTTCTTTTAATTTTTAGAATAATAAACTTCCTCACTTCTTCTGCATTCTTTTTTATAGGGCTTGTGTTGTGTATGTTTGTGTGTGTGTTGTATTTACTCATTTTCAAATAAGAGAATTATCTATAAGAGAACTTACAAAATTGAAATGCATGGCTTCTCCCTCTTCTGTCTTCTATACCAAATCCCTTCTTAGATCTACAATTAGTAGTATTCAATTCTGAGCCCAATTCTAGTGTTTTTCCAGCATTCATATATTATGATTCTGCTCACCAGAGGTGCTATCTTCTGTTTTCTCTTTCTGGTTTTCTGGTACTCTGAACCAATGGAGTAAATGACAGACTGTATTCCTCCAAATGAATTTGCTTTACCAAGGCTTTTTCTTTTTTTTTTTCCCACCTGCCTATAATCCTTTTCTGAAGGAGAATTTCCATTCCAGCCACTTACGCAATTTTTTTTTTTTTAATTTGAGACAGAGTCTTGCTCTGTCGCCCAGCTGGAGTGCAGTGGCACGATCTTGGCTCACTGCAACCTCTGCCTCCCGGGTTCAAGCGATTCTCCTGCCTCAGCCTCCCTAGTAGCTGGGACAACAGGCTCATGCCACCACGCCCAGCTAATTTTTGTATTTTTAGTAGAGATGGGACTTCACCATGTTAGCCAGGATGGTCTCGATCTCCTGACCTCGTGATCCATCCACCTCAGTCTCCCAAAGTGCTGGGATTACAGGCGTGAGCCACCGCGCCCAGCCAATGTTTGTATTTTTAGTAGAGACGGGGGCCTCACCATGTTGGCCAGGTTGGTCTTGAACTCCTGACCTCAAATGTTCTGCCTGCCTCAGCTTCCCAAAGTGCTGGGATTACAGGTGTGAGCCACCGCGCTTGGCCTAATTATGCTTTTTTATTATAGTAAAACACCCTTCCCCTTTGTAACAATATTTTCCTAGAAGTGCCTTCTCTGAATGACCGTAGATAGAAGAGAAGGTTGAAAGAAAAGTCATAAAAAAGGAATATCATAGTAACAAAATGATGGCTACTCAACAATCTGGTTGGTCCTGACCTTAGTTTTCTGAGCCAGGGATAATATTGTGAATGAGAGACTAGTGTCCTTATATTTTATTTTAACTGTTGTTTGGACTTCTAAAAAATTTTATTATTGTTGTTAAGCAGAAGGAAGCCACCAGTTGTATCTCTCAATTCAGCTCCAGAGGACTTGTAGATAGTGAAAATTCCTTTTGGATTCTGGCAACCAGCTTGTCTACATGTCTGTCTTGTGAGTTGTTTTTAATTCTGGGCTTCTCTTTCTTGGTAATTTTATTGGGCTTTTGGAAGTAACTGCATCAGGGATTGCTAATTTGATTCAATTTAAAAAAGAAGTTCCACTGCAAATGAATTTAAAAATAATTTTTTCAAGTTATATAAGGAATAGTTAAGATTCACTTTTGAATTGCTTTAATTTATAGATTAACCTATGAAGGATTTTCATCTTTATAATATTTATTCTTTCCTTTCCAGAATTTTTATTCACAGTTTAACATAAATTTTACATTCTTTTAAAACATCTCTATTTTACATTTTTGTTGTTGGTATAAATTGTTTTTATTTTAATTTCTGGTACATTTAATGATATAGAAATGGAACAGAGAAATACTATGGATTTATATAAGTATCTTATCACTGATTACTTTGTTGAACTCTTTTAATAGCTTTGATAATTTTATAGGTGATTTAAAATTTTTTTCTAGGTATACAATAATATTGCCTGAAATTGACATTTTATTTTTCCTCCCTGATATCTAAAATTATTCAAGTGTCATTGCATTTGTAAGTCTGAAATGCAGTATTAATTAGTAAACAGTGAAAACGGGCATTTAAATTTTGTTTCTGTTCTTAATGGGACACCTCTAGTGTTTTCTCAATTACTTAGAATGTTAGTTCAGGATTTTAAGTAGACAACTCATTTGTGTTGAGTATTCTTCCACATTGTAAGGATTTAATAACTTTTTTTTGAAGTTGAATTAAATATCTTTCTATTTTTATATTTTCTGCTGAAAACTCTTAAATAAGTTCTGGTGTTTTCTTGGAAAACCTTTAGGTGCCTATTGAAATGTGGTTTTTATTATTTGTACTATTAATGTGATAAATTGTTTTGATAATTTTTCTGATGTTGAATATTCCTTAAATTCCTGTGACAAATTCCATTTGTTCATGGTGTGTGTTTTTTTTGTAAATATCTGAATTGCTTGCATTTTGTTTAACATTTTGGCATGTATATTAATAAATAAAATTGGCCGGTAGCTTTCAAAATAGTATGGTTATCAGGTTATTTAGATCCTAGGTAATATTTTACTTATTGTTTTACCATTTTTTAAAATGTTCGAAGTGGTTTATATAATATTGACATTATTCCCTGATCATTTTAGATAACTTATCTATAAATGTATATAATCCCTCTGCTTTCTTTGATTTTCTCTCTAATTTGTTTTTCAGTTTTTATCATATTTTATAAATAGAAATTATTCATTACATGAAATTCATTCTCATACAACTGTGTAGTCACTCACTTTAGTTTCTATTTTGATTATGTATTTTTTCTCACCTTTATTTCTTTGTATTTTACTTGATTAAATTTTTGGTGTTTATCAGTTTTTAGCAACTCAGATCTTGGTTTTATTTTTTAATTATATTCCTGTTCAATTTTCTGATATCCTTATTTAATTTTATTTTTTCATTTTCTTATTTTTGTTGAGGTTGTCTTTTTTCTCATAGAAGCGAATAAACTTATGTAAAAATGTTTCCAAATTGTCTCCCATGTACCAGGCACTCTTCTACATGCTGGGGATATGAATAATGGTGACCAAAGTTCTTGTCCTTATGGGACTATATCTGTGTCTGTATCTATGTCCACACACACTCCATAAGTATACGTAATATCATATACAAATAGTATATAATAAATTATATGTATATTATTGTGGCAAGAATACTTAAAATGAGACCTACCCTCTTAAATTTTAAGTGTATAAAACAATATTATTAGCTATGGGCACAATGTTGTACAACAGATCTCTAGATATTAATACATTTGTACATGCCTATAGAAATTATTCATCTTGTGTAACTGAAAACTTATTCCCATTTAACAGGAACTTCCCATTTGCCCCCTCCCTCAGCTCCTGGAAATCACTATTCTACTTTCTACTTCTATGAGTTTAACTAATTTAGATACTGCATGTATTAATAAGTGTCATCATGCAGTATTTGTCCTTCTATGACTGGCTTATTTCACTTAACATAATATCCTTAAGGTTCATCCATGATGTTGCTTATGGCAGGATTTTCTTCCTTTTTAAGGCTGAACAATATTCCATTGTGTGCATATACTACATTTTCTTTATTCATTCATCTGTCAATAGGCATTTAGTTTGTTTTCCCTTCTTGACTATTGTGAATAATACTGCGATGAACATGAGAATATAAATATCTTCTCAACATCATGATTTCAATTTTTTGATAAATATTCGAAAGTAGCATTATTGGATCAAATGGCAGTTCTATTACATTTTTAATGTTTTGAGGAAACTCCACAGTGTTTTCTATAATAGCTGCAGAATTTTATCCTTGCTAACACTTGTTATCTTTTGTTTTTTGACAATAGCCATCCTAATGTCTATGAAGTAATCTCTCACTGTGGTTTTGATTTGCATTTTCCAGATGATTAAGCGATGTTGAGAATGTTTTCATATGTATGTTGGCCATTTATGTCTTCTTTGGAGAAATGTCTATTCAACTCCTTTGGCCATTTTCAAATTGAGTTATTTGGTTTTCTTGCTACTGAGTTGCATGAGTTTCTTATCAGATACATGGTTTGCAAATATGTTCTTCCATTCTGTAGGTTGCTTTTTTGCTCTGTAGATTGTTTTCTTTGCAGTGCAGAAGATTTTTAGTTTGATATAGTTTCACTTTTCTTTTTTCTTTTTTTTTTTTGAGATGGAGTCTCGCTCTGTAGTCCAGGCTGGAGTGCAGTGGCGCGATCTCTGCTCGCTGCAAGCTCTGCCTCCCGGGTTCACGCCATTCTCCTGCCTCAGCCTCCTGAGCAGCTGGGACTACAGGCGCCCGCCACTACGCCCAGCTAATTTCTTTTTGTATTTTTAGTAGAGACGGGGTTTCACTGTATTAGCCAGGATGTTCTCCATTTCCTGGCCTCGTGATCCGCCCGCCTCAGCCTCCCAAAGTGCTGGGATTACAGGCGTGAGCCACCGCGCTTGGCCAGTTTCACTTTTCTACTTTGGCTTATGTTCCCTGTGCTTTTGGTGTTATACCAAGACCCATGTGATGAAGCTTTTCCGTGTTTTTTCTAAAAGTTTTGCCATTTCAGTTCTTACATTTAAATCTTTAATCCATTTTGAGTTGATTTTTGTGGATCATGCAACATAAAGGTCCAATCTCATATTTTTCACATGTGGATATCCAGTTTTTCCAGGACCATTTGTTCAAAGACTATCTTTTCATTGTGTTTTCTTGGCTTCTTTGTCAAAGGTCAATTGGCCATAGATTCATGGAGTTATTTCTGGGCTCTTTATTGGGTTCCATTGGCCTATGTCTCTAACTTTATGTCACTGCCATACTGTTTTGCTTATTTAGCTTTGCAATATATTTTGAATCAGAAAGTGTGATGCCTCTAGCTTTGTTCTTGTTCCTCAAGATCGTTTTGGCTATCTGGAGTCCTTTGTGGTTCCAATGCCTCACAGTCTTCCTCTCTCCCTTCTCTTTTCCCTTCTGCCATGTGATGATGTAGCATGAAGATAAGGCCCTTGTCAGATGCCAACACCTTGATATTGAACTTCCCAGACTCCAGAACTATAAGCATATGCATTTCCGTTTTTTATAAATTGCCCAGTCTCAAATACTCTGTTATAGCAGCACAAAAGAAACTAAGACAGGCTTTTTTTTTTAATCCCTTAAAATATTCAGCTATTTTTGGCTGGGCGCGGTGGCTCACACCTGTAATCCCAGCACTTTGGGAGGCCGAGGTGGGTGGATCACAAGGTCAGGAGATTGAGACCATCCTGGCTAACAAGGTTGAAACCCTGTCTTTACTCTCTCTCTCTCTCTCTCTATATATATATATATGTATATATACAAAAAATTAGCTGGGCATGGTGGCGGATGCCTGTAGTCCCAGCTACTTGGGAGGCTGACATGAACCCAAGAGGTGGAGCTTGCAGTAAGCCGAAATTGTGCCACTGCACTCCAGCCTGGGAGACACAGCAAGACTTTGTCTCAAAAAAAAAAAAAAATTCACCTATTTTTTTTCTAATTTTTTATCATGAAATGCATGATGTTATGACTTTGCTTCTAAGAGTTACTTTTGCTGCATTTAACAAACACATCAAGTTTTCAAGGCCATTTTCTATATTGTCTGCTCTTGTATTCTTAATTATAGTCCTGTCAGTTAATTGTGTTTGGGGAATTTTTAACTTTGAAAATTCTTGTTTATGTTCTTTTTATTAATATCTACTCATTTTATAGTTAGAGGATGAAACATTAATACTTTTTAATTTAGATTTTCTTTCTATGTTAGTATATGAGCAATATTGGTGGCTTTCTCTAAATATAGCTTTGTAAGAGCACCCAAAGTTTGTATGATTTGGGGAAGTTGAGCTCTTCTCAAAAACCGTGGAGAGGAATAAGATGAAAAGCATATTTGATTCTCCTTTATCTGGCTTATTATTAAGGTCAAGGTTAGTATCTTATCATTAAGATAGTTGTATGAAAAACAGAATTACCAACATGTCTCCATGGGTTACACATATAGTAAAGAAACTGGAAAATAGCTATATTACGAACTTGCATGTAAAGCTCATTTAAGAACATTTTCTTAATTCTTTATTTCTGTGTCTCATATTATAGTTGACACAGCTCTTTTCAGAGATATTTTTATTAAAACTTCAAGCCTCATAAGGACCTAATGAAACAGGCAAGTAGGCATGTGGTGTTAATCTATTTTACACATGAGAAAATTAAGGCTCATGGAAGTAAATGCCTTATTCAAGTCCCCAGTTTAGTTAGTAAAATATCTGGAAGTAGAACCCAAGTCTTGCCTCCTAGCACTATGCTTTTAGCACAATGTCACAATACTCCAAATTAATCCTGAACTGAAACACTTCAGTGTGGAGTCTTTTCTAGTAGTTGGCTACAAATGATATATAATTTTAATAGCATATGCTTATTTCCAGAGAAAGGATTTTACCCCCACTCTATGCCAATGTTATTTTAATGTGTGACATTACATAGCAGGCTGCATACTCTTACATGAAAAAAATTTAGGAAAAAACTGCTTGCATGTATCTATTTTTGCAGATACATTCTAATTTAAGGAATCATGATGATTGAAAACTCGTATTTCAGAACAAATTAGAATAAAAATTTCTGTTACATCTTGACTTTTACCTCCTTTGAAGCCAATATATTTCTAATGGGAAATCTAAGAAAATATAAATTTCCATCATGAATTTCATGAATGAAGTACGTCATGGGACAGGTAGGTGGGTGTTGGAATCTGTATTTTTCCTTCCTTGCCTCACTGTACCAAAGAACTCATCGCTGGAGCTGCTTCTTAAGCATGAGACATCCTTAAGAAGATTGCTTAAGAATAACAATTTTAGCCATAATAATAGCTATTCATTCCTCCACTTAGTACTTCAAAGTTTATAAAGCCCATTCTCAGATACCCTTTCTAAACTCTTGTGAGAAAAACAGGTCAAGGGTTATTAACCCTATTTTACAGGTAAGGAAATAGGCTCAGGGGTGTGACAGGTCTTGCCTAAATTTACAGTTAGTAGAGTTCTGGCTTAAAATCACATTATTTGACTCACTGTTAGGACCCTTTTTTACCATGCCACACTGCCTTGAATGTGGTCACTAGGAAGATTGCTTTGAGAACCAGCAATGCTATTTAAATTGTTCCACATGATAACAGCAAAACCCTTGACTACTTTCAAGGTGGAAGAACAGAAGAAAACTTTTTTTTTTACAAGGTATATTGATGTACCTTGGGATAAGAATATAAGCAGTAATACCCACCACTAGAAATTATACAGTTCAATGTAGGAACTTAAATAACAAAAAAGAAAAACAAAACACATTTGTCTACTTGACCTTATTGGCATTACTTTGACAGTGAATTGTCCATTTTGATTTTTTTTGTGCAATATTTTTAAGTATCTATTGAATGATATATATTAATATACCCACACACATAAACACATGTACACACATAAGATAGTTATGGACATAAACTCAGATATGCATATGCCTATATGTACTAACACTTTTTCGGTTGAGATTACGCAGCAGCCCAAGAGAATTAGAACTGCCTCTAAAATAGATTCAGAATGCTTGTCTCCCAGGCCATGTCCATAGGCAACATGAATACAAAGATTGCCCTCCAGGGTTTTAGAAAAAAATCTGGCCAGTTCCTTGGATGGGCAATAAATCAGGGCATACTCAGCTTTGTATGGGGGCGAGGCAATTTGCAAGGACATCTTTTTCTCTTCTGTATACAGTCCCAATGCTGCAACATTATTTCTTTTTTTCTTTTTAAACTCACTGTCATCCTTAACTGTTCAGTTGTGTGCTGCTTCTTTTAAGTGTATACTTGGTAACACTACACTTTGGAATAATAAATGACGGGGAGGAGGCCCTTCATCCTTGAAGTTTTAGTTAAAGCAGTGGATGAGGACTGGCTCAGGGATGTGCATGGGCTTTTGTCGTCATTATTCTACCATTTGATTAGGTGCTGTTGTGTTCCTCTGGTCTTTCTCCATGAGATCATTGATGTTTCAATTCTGACAACTGTTCAGCTGTCCACTCAATTGGTTGATATCGTCATTCTCGTGAAGGTCAGTGATGATTCCATAATCACCAAATTTGATATCCTATTCTTGGTCTTCATCCTCCTGGCAGTCTCTGTTTCTCTAGAAGAAAACAGTCGATATCATGAAAGCATGGTTTGGGGAAGGCTGGAAACTTCAAGGGAAGGCAAATTAATGGAGCTAGCAAGTTGAGCCTTAAACATTATAGGGCGAAAACCAAGAAATCAGACCATGTCCCAAGATGATGAAAGAAAAATGTGACAAATACCCTGTTTAAGATCAGACAGCCAGTCAGAGGAATGTGAGTCCCAAAGGATAGGGCTGGTAAATGGGGTGGTTTAACCCTCCGGTCTCATGTTAGGATTGATCTAGACTACAGCACTGCTGTCCGGAAGAAAAGTATAATGTGAGCCACAGATGTCCACTGCATATATAGTTTTAGATTTTCTAGTAACTGCATTTAAAAAAGTTTGGAACAAGTGAAATTATTTTTAATACATTTTATTTAATCCAATATATACCAAACATTATCATTTCAACACATAATTAATAAAATCTTATTGATGGGGTATTTTACATTCTTTTTCTCAGACTAAGTGTTTTAAATCTGAGTTTTACACTTGTAGCACATCTCAATTTGGACTAGCCACATTAAGTGCTCAATAGCCACATGTGGCCAGTGGCTACCATATTCCAGTTTGGGCCTAGAGCCAAAGGGATAAGGTGGAGTTTGTGGAGGGCAGCCCAGCAGCCTCTGCTATGGGGAGAAATGACTTGGGCTATGGAAAATACAAGCAGTAAGCCTGCTATCTGCCATATTATTTTGTGAAACATGCTTTTTAATACTTTAGTTGCTAAGCATGCCAATTGATATGCTCAAAACCTTTCCTATCAAATAACAAAAACAGCAACCTTTACTGTTTCCTTATTGCCTATTGCAACATTCAACTTCCTCACTGTGACACTTGAGGTCCTCCTCCATGTCGACTTAACGTATATTGACGTGTATTCTTCTTCCACTCTCCCACTTCTGTGATTGCATTATCTCTGCTTTTTAAATACAACAGAAGCCCTCTTCTGTGACATTTTTGTTGATCCAGTTATTGAAAAAAGTCATTGAAAGAAGGAAATTATTAAAATGTGTAGAAATGATATGTATATACACTTTAAACATTCCTTAACTGAAAACATATGACGCACATTCACATGCGGAGGGGATAAAGGTGATTTTTAAAACATGGATCATCTGATTGAAGTTCTTCATAACACTTCTTGCATCAACCTAACCCATAATGCATAGTATACATGAAACATATTTGAGAGACAATCTGATTATAGAGCCTTTTAGATTTCTACTATTTTCTCCAAAATCATTGTAGTTGTCTTGTCCACATCTAAATTGTCAGCAAAAATTTTTTGTACCTTACATTTAATGATTCCTTCTAAACCATTCAATTTAATTTGCATGAAAACATTAATTTTTTTTCTTAGTCCTACTGGTTTTTAGACTATTTAATTTAATTACGTGTTACAGAAACAAACAAACAAAAAACTAGCCTAAATAGGTTTAGCAAGAAACACAGCTGGCTTTTGGTAAGCATACAATTCATCTGGCAGAAGTGAGTGTGAACAGGTATCCTAGAGTAGCCTACCAGCCCTGAGTATCCAGCACGCATCATAGTATGTCTTATAGAGGGAGTAGAAGGCACTGGCTAATCAGGTGAGCTATTAATAGTTAACAGTTTCTAGTTTGCCTTGCTCTTGGCCTGCACCTGCTCCTACAATTCCTTCCTTTTCATTTCCTACCTCTTGCTGTTGAAACTCTTTGGTAGGCAGAATAATGATCTCCAGAGATGTCTACATCCTAACCCCTGAAACCTTCACATGTCACCTTACATGGCAAAAGGAACTTTGCAGGTATGATTAGGTTAGAGATCTTGAGATGGAAAGATTTTTAAAAATTATCTGGTGGGGCAAATCTAATCACATGGGTTTTTAAAAGCAGAGAACCTTTCCTGGATGTGATCAGAGGGACATGTGTCTGGGGAGGAAAGGCACAAACAGATGGAAGGCTGCTGACATTAAAGTTGGAGGGCACACCAACATGGCACATGTATACCTATGTAAAAAACCTGCACGTTGTGCACAAGTGCCCTAGAACTTAAAGTATAATTTAAAAAAGTAAATAAATAAAGTTGGAGGAAGGGGGTTATAAGCCAAGAAATGTGGATGGCCT
The DNA here is from genome assembly GCF_000001405.40 of Homo sapiens. Classification (NCBI taxonomy): domain Eukaryota; kingdom Metazoa; phylum Chordata; class Mammalia; order Primates; family Hominidae; genus Homo; species Homo sapiens. The sequence continues at coordinate 99,636,572 of NC_000009.12, read as the reverse complement.
CTAGAAACTGGAAAAGGTGAGGAAATGGATATTTCCCCTAGAGCCTTCAGAAAGAAATACAGTCCTACTGGCACTTTGATTTTAGCCCAGTGAGGCTCATGTTGGACTTCCAACATATAGAATTTTAAGAAAACAAATAATAAATATATGTGCTTTTAAATAATAATTGTATGTGCTTTTAAGTCACTAAGTGGACGGTAATTTGTTAATAGAAATAGAAAACTAATACAAAATCTATTTGATCTTCCAGTCTCACCTCAAAATAAAAATCCTCTGCAAAGATTTTCTTGATACTTGTGATTTGGCATGCACTTTCCCTCTTTCAGATTTGAATCCTTTACATTGTACTTACCTTAATTTTCCCTGTATTATTTTGGGTAGTGCCTTTTCTTAACCCTCTAGTAGACTATACACTCTTTCACTTGTTTTTTTTTATTTTTATAAATTTATGGGGTACAAGTGTGATTTTGTTATCTGGATAGAATGCATAATAAAGTCAGGACTTTAAAAATACCCATCACCTGAATAATGTATATTGTACCCATTAAGTAATTTCTCATCATCCAACTCCCTCTCTGACCCCCTGACCCTTCCTAGTCTCATAGTCTCATTTCACACTCTATGTCCATGTGTACACATTGTTTAGCTACCACTTATAAGAGAGAACATGCGGTATCTGTATTTCTGTATCTGAGTTGTTTCACTTAAAATTTTTATACTATGTATTCAGATAGTCTCTGGATTTTTATCCTTGGATTAATATAGACCTGCATTGTGCAGTAGGGTAGCCACTCACATGTGGCTACTTAAATGTAAATGTAAATTAATCTTAATTAAATAAAATTAAAAATTTAGTTTCTTAATCCCACTACCATGTTTCAGGAGCTTAATAGCCACACATTATTTATGGCTAATATATTGGGCAACACAGATATCCATTATCTTAGAAAGTTCTATTGAATAGTGCTGCCCTAGATGGCCAGTTTTTGTATACTTGGAAAATATTTTCTTGGCTCTTTTGGAGGTATTTTCATTGAGATACCTGTGAAGGCTATTGTTATGTTCCTTCATTTCTTTTGAGAAGCAGGCTTTTAAAATATACTTTGCTATGGGAACTCATGTGTATCAATCGGAGTCCTGGAAAGAAAACAAATTCACACCATTTATTCAAAAAAAGAGTCTTTAATGATGGCAGGTGTGAACAGAGTTAAGAGAATCAAGAAAAAATGTAGAGGCAGCTAGAGTTTAGCAAAGTGGTAAGGGATTACAGTTTAAAGCTGAAGGGCTATTGGAGTCGTGGGAAGTGCCACCCCACATAGCTGTGGTCCTGAAGGAATGTAGCCTGTAACAGAAGTGGGGCCCAAAGCAAAGATGAAGCAAGGAAGTAATTCTCCAGCCTCCCTCATGTCCTGACTTTTAGTCTCCAGCCAAACCCAACCTGAAGCCAACCAGCAAGGGAGCCTGGGAAAGCTGGTCTGCAGGATAAGCCTCCTATGGCACAGAACGGAGAGAAAGGCGGAGAGTAAAGTCAAGGTGGAGAAACAAATGGAAAATAACCAGTACCATGGTTAAGGGCATTATACCACATTACCCAATCCCATTTTGAGATATTTATATTAGAGGTAAGTAATGAAGTTTTCCTTCCCCAGATGGATAACAGCATTTCAGCATCATGAATAATAACAAAGTGCTTTCCTTTTGCTGTGGCATTCTGGAAGATCAGATTGAACTCTGTATTCCACAACTGTGAGAGGGCATTGGAGTTGCCTATTTGTGCTTATTTTCTTCCTGGCCTGTACTTCTCATTCTAATTTATATTTTACTTTGTCCTGTTGTTTTATTTTCGACTTATATTTTTCAGTTTTATTATAAGCATTTCTTTGTGTTTACATTGTGAAATGAGGCAAGAATAAAACAGACAAATAGATAAATGCCTGTTTTTAATTCTTGGAATCATTCTGCAGTGTGTCTTGCCCATAGTTGACTTGTTAAGTGCAAACAAATTCAACCATGCAGATAAATAATTTATATGGTAATTTCCATTTCTACCCATGCTAATACTGATCATTCCGTTCAATACTATTTCTTTGGCCTGAAATTGTTGGACAGCTTCTAACTTTCCATATCCTCAGAGGAGACAATAAAGGGAACTTAAACTGAAACTGATGCTGCAAGTGAAGTTACAACTATATGAGTCACAAATTCAAGAAAGGAGCTCTTCCATATGTCTGAGAGCATGGTGGGAATTAGGGACATTTATGATAGAAACGGTGAGAGTCGGGGACTTTTATGAGAGCATTTCACAGAACTAGGCAAGATGAAATAATACCTGCCTAAAACAAATATGATTGGAGGCTAAAGATGTAATAATCTCAACTATTTTCACCTTCATTTTTTCAATGAACTGGTCTCCATACGTCATAGATTCTCATAGTTTTTTTTTTGTTTGTTTTTGTTTTTTTTTTTGAGACGGAGTCTCACTCTGTTGCCAGGCTGGAGTGCAGTGGCACAATCTCGGCTCACTGCAACCTCCACCTCCTGGATTCAAGTGATTCTCCTGCCTCAGCCTCCCGAGTAGCTGGGACTACAGGCACCTGCCACCACATCCGGCTAATTTTTGTATTTTTAGTAGAGACAGGGTTTCACCATGTTGGCCAGGATGGTCTCGATCTCTTGACCTCATGATCCACCCGCCTCAGCCTCCCAAAGTGCTGGGATTACAAGCGTGAGCCACTGCGTCCGGCCACGTCATAGAGTCTTAGATATGAAGATGAGAAAAGACAGTAGAAACAGAATTCAAGCTTAGAGAAATTTTCATTGGTTTCTATGTTCAGGACTTTTAAGTCTCATGCTTCTAATAATGTTTATGTAAAATATTTTACTGTTTTAAAACATGAAGCTATGAAAGTAAGAGCACTCTAAGAAGAAAGTGGATATTTGCTTACCTCCCTCTCATCTTTTCATTCTTAGGTGTTCTACAGATTCATTAAATTGTGCTTTCATAACTTCTTCTCAATGTTTAGAAACTTAATAAAAACTATCAAGTTCAGAAACTTAGTAACAATTATCAAAATCTCCCTTTAGTCACTTTTCTTTTTGGCAACATGTTCTCAGTTCCCCTTTCCCATCTTTCTTACTGGTCATATATTATAAATAGGTTAGCATTTTGCATATTTATATTCCATTCCATCTGGTCATAATTCTTTCTTTTTTGAAGAAATTAAGGGCAAATTGTACTTGATATTTTTAATGGCAAGACACATTCTAGAATTTTATAATCTATAATAATTCAAGTATTTTGGAAGCTCTTTGTGGATTGTTAAGAATTATAATTTAGATTTGTGAGAGAATATTTATAATACTTTGACTCTAGACCTAAGATATATATATTTTGAAATTACAGAAATACTTTTCTTTAAGAAAAAGCAGTTTTTTAAGAAAATGGAACTACATAAATAAAATATTCTTTCCAAATTGTGAAGTTACTTTCATTTGCAAATATACAATATTTTTTGCATAGTGTCATTTATATTATTTTATATATTCCATGTAACATTTTTATTAACAATTTAAAATGCAATTATTAATTTTACTTTTATATGTTTTCAGTTCTAAGAAAGAGAGTATTTCTTTGTTTAACCCTGTTTATAGGAAGCCTTAAAGAAGGAAGGACAGAGAAAATCATCCACGTTAGTGTACAGCACAGTACATTGTTGTTTGATGAAAGTAGTGACCTCAACAGTGTCAAACAGAAAAAATATCTTCATCTTAAGGGGTAGAGCTGTGAAGTGAAGGAGAAAAATGTGCTTGAAGCTCATTAAACTTTGTCCAATTAATGTTTTATTTTTTCCCAGGGCTAACATTATTGGTAACATCTACTTCAAATGCTTTTCTTTATTGTCTTCATACACTTCTAGAAACTAATTATTTCCCTCAGATTGTGATGATTTCTAGTGAATTTCTAGCACAAGACATTTGGATGTGGTTTTTGTGTAGAACTGTAAAATTGCTGATGCATGGCCTTTACCTTTTTAACTTACAAAAGTGATTCAAATTAATGTTACTGAGAATCTCTCATAAAGACCAGGAAGAAATGTGTGTATGTATGTATGTGTGTATATATATATATGTGTGTGTGTGTATATATATATATATATATACATACATACAAACACACATATATGTATATATGTATTTATGTTCTATTCCATCTGGTCATAATTCTTTCTTTTTTGAAGAAATTAAGGGCAAATTGTACTTGATATTTTTAATGGCAAGACACATTCTATAATTTTACATATGCTAATTGTAATATGTGTGTGTGTATATATATATACACACATATATATACACACATATATACACACACATATATAAATGTGTGTGTATATATATATAAATGTGTGTGTGTATATATATTTTTGTGTGTTTATGTGTGTGTGTGTGTATGTACATATACATACATGTAGTTGTTTTTGTTGGTTTCTCTTGCTGGAGTGTAGTGGTGTGATCTTAGCTCACTGCAGCCTCTGCCTCCTGAGTTCAAGTGATTCTCCTGCCTCAGCCTCCTGAGTAGCTGGGACCACAGGTGCACACAACCACACCAGGCTAATTTTTGTACTTTTAGTAGAGATGGGGTTTCACCATGTTTGGCCAGGCTGGTCTCAAACTCCTGACTGCAAGTGATCCGCCCACCTCGGCCTCCCAAAGTGCTGGGATTATAGGCGTGAGCCACCGTGCCCGGCCTAACCAAAAGGGATTTTAACTGAAGGTTGAAAGGCAGCGTCAACATGCTAATTGTAAAAACAACATGGATTCCAGTAGGTAGGACCTTGAAGAAGACAGTGGGAGAGTACTCAGAAATTCCCAGGGGAAAATCACGGCTAGGTCAAAGCACAGAAAATGTATAACTACTGTAGTAACCTTGAAAGATAAGACGTAATGATTCCGTAAACATAGGTCCCTGTCCTTCCATCTTAACACTACGTTTGTAAGGCCTGAGAGAGCTATTTGGATTTGAAGCTAAACAATCTTTTACATCAATGGAGATCTCCTTCTTGTTGACCTTGGTACTTTAAAGAAGACTTATTGGGCAACTACATAATCATCCAATCTGTATTTCTCCTTCTGGTACATAAATATATTACACGACACTTGGCCATATATAATACTGAGTGAGGATACTTTACATCTGTGGCATTCTCCTGTATCAGAAAAGTCTATGAGATTTCTTCTGTCTTGTTGTTAGTGAACTTACACATGTTCGTGCTCCATAGAGGGAACTCCATTCAAAAGTATGATTGCCATCTTCTAACTCCTTCCTGGCTATTAAAGGATTAAGTTGCAGCTTTTATATTAAAATATTTGACCAGTTTATTCTGCCTTGGACCTGTTAGGTTGACTTTTGTTCTTTGAGCTTTGCAAGATCAAAAATATTTCTAAAATAAATAAACCAAAGAAGATGCAGTACTTTCAATCAGACATTTAAGAAACGCTATATGAAGGAAAGGTAAAGTATCAGCAAGGTCTCAATAGAAGCGTAAGCCTTCTCGAAGACTCCATCTTCCCTTCTTATTGTAGCACAAACACAGGACTGGTATCCAGAGTGTAGCTGAAAAAAGGGTACCAGGATGGTGCTGTGCTTTGCTGATGAAGTAGTTTGTGGATCTATACTTCCCAGTTTAGGAAAAGCCAGCAAATTTCTTTATGTGAGTGAGTTTTATAGTTTCTTCAGAACTGAAGGGTTGTCATTCCAAATGACTTGAAATACAATACTTCCTTTTGTTGTTCGAAATGAAAAGCAAGGAGTACATGCAGCCGTAGATTGGCTTCACGCAGCCAAAAAGGTGGCCATGAGCCACTGCCAATGCAAGGTTCGCTGGAGTCACACTAGGTACAGAAAGTAAGAGGGAATAACAATTGTCCATCAATAAAAGGTTTAAAGAAGCAAGGCATGCTTTTTCTTTTTTTTCTGAGACTCCCTCTTCTCCACCTAATTACGTGGTTTTCCTGGTTACAGAGGCCCATTTACTAGGGAAAAAGTCAGGGTGGACATGTCGTCACAGGCGTTCAAAATGGCAAGTTGTCATGAGTGTATGTGTATGTGTGTGTGTGTGTGTGTGCATGTGTATAAGGTGTGTATGTATGTGCTAACATTTTAAACATGTCTTCTGAACCTTTATGGAACTTATATTTGTTCTTAGTGATTACACCTTTCTTTTCTAGTACTTTCAAACGAAAATACATGTTGTGATCCTTTGCTGGTCACCTTTATTTGGTTTCTTTTCTTTTTTTTTTTTCACTTCAGCCAGTTCATATCATAAAAGGGGCCTATTTTCCATCTCCATTTCCTTACAGAAAGGTAGATGTCAATGTATGTAAACTTGTATGGTCTTGCATAGCCTTATTCAATGCTTTCTTCCAAACATGTTATCTGTTTTGTTGTCTACCCTTCTTCATTAGAGAAGTTAAATTAGTGGGACAGAGGCCAGAAAAAAGTACTATGGGCTCACAACTGCCTTGCAGCCTCTAGGGAAGGGTAACTTGGACCACTCCTATTTAGCTGTGTTGATTTCAACAGGGATCACCAATATTTCCCAGGTAGAATCATTTTGTCAGAAATGGTCTGGTTGCTGAGTGGAAATATAACTCTGTTTTTTTAGCAGCCAAGTCTATTTTACTGAAGGTGACTTATTTTTGTGAGACCTCTTGATCCATATTTCTTATTAAGTCATGCTGCATTTTAGATATTCACCAAATTTACCCAAGTTCAAGATATTAGCTGTTTATTCTTAATTCTGACTCCAAGTGTTTTCTTTCCCTTTTGTGCTTACGGAGTTGCAAGAGGTGAAGAAAGGATCCGGTATCTTGCCAAAAAGAAGCTCCTTCTGCAAATAAAGAAATACGAAAAAGGCAGTTTAACCAACCAAACAAAAACTGCCATTGCACAGTTGTGATTCTCCCAGGGAAGCTTGTATTTGTTAGGTGTACCCTCTTGAAAATGACATAAGGAGAGTTCACCCATCTCTAGTACTTCAAGTGAGGCTCAGATCTTGGAGTGATTAGCAAAATGGGTTTTCCGACACATTTATTTTGGGGACTTTTTATCCTCTGTGAGTCTTTAATCTGGTTTCCAGACTCTTCCCTAATTTCATTGTTCTGTGTTTTTTCTCTTTTTGGGGATGCTATTGGGTGAAATTTACAGGCACAGTACTCAGTTTAGCAAGAGTGGGGAGAAATGACTATTTTTTGATATTCGCTTTTTAAGGAGGGTTGCTTGTTTTCCTGTCTGATTGACTGTACTGACATTCCCCCTATGTGTGGCTACCTAGCATAAGATCTAAGAAAGATTTCATTCTAGAAGACAATGTTTCATCTAAACACTCTCTTGATGTAGCTACATAAATAAAACCATAAGGGCTCTGCCATGGTGTTGCTCTTAATATATAAGCAAACCTCTTCCCCTCTTGCTCCCTTATGTTAACTTCCCCCCTCCCCCCTCCCCCCCACCCATCCTTTATTTGGTAGCAACTTCCTCTTCTAGGTCTAAGATTAAAACCTATAAGTATCTTCCTCCTGAATCCAGGTCCAGTTGACTGTTGATAGACAGAAAAATGCTTGTGGGCTAGGGCAGAATCTATGCTGAGTATGACTAGAAACAGTTTCTTCTCTCTCTCGCTTTCTGTGTCTCTGCTGTGAGTATGCAGATCTCATGAATATGCCACCTTTCATTGGCTCTGTTTTTCCCTCATATACTCCCTCAGACACTCTAGTCTGGTCTTCTTTGTCTTTTGGCCCAAGGAGTTGTCCATTTTTGCCCCTCTCCAAATCCACACATTCACCTTCTTATCTTTCCATGCCTAGCTGAAGTGCCATTTTGTCCACAAACTCTCTCATGAACTTCCTTTTCCCCCATATGAAAGTAAACTTTTCCTTTTTAAATTCTTTAGCACTTTATATATACTTCTCTGTTACACCTCTGAGCACTGTCTGTCTGTTCCCATAGTTATTTTACTGCATAGCTTCCATATTAGAATGTAAAGTGCTGGAACAGGAACTGCATCTGATTCTCCTTGAATCTGCCCAATTTCTGGCACAGACTCTAACACACAGGAAGTGCTCTGAAATGTTGGCCACTGATGAAGACATGAATAAAGAGAGTAGGTCAGACCTTCCCTGGAACATAGCATGACTTGAGGGGACTTTAGGGTTGATTCCTCATTAAGAGATGGATTGGCATCAGATATCTTATTGAAGCCTTGTAAAGGGGGAATGAGCTCAAATCATGATGGAGGGATTCTGGATCAATAAAATTCAAGTTATGGAAGCCTCATTAGTCAAGGTCTGAGATCCCTTACTAGAAAGCCTTGGAATTTATTTTATTAGTCTTTAGGTAGACTTTGGAGCTGTAGGTATGGGTAGATGGAGCAGGGGTGAGAGGATTAGGGGAATTCACTTCTGAATTTGCTGTTGTTTCCAGAAAAGCAGTCCAATCTAGAGCAGGGATTCCCACAAATCAGATATTATGGCCCAAAGGGTCCTAGGAGGCTCCCCAAAATGAATGTGAAGCTTTATTCTGCTTTGAAGAGACAGTTGCATGGTTGCATGGGATGCTCTCTTGAACACTGAATAAAATGAACAGTAAAAATTATCGATAACACCTGAAGAGCAACCCAGTTATAGTATAATACTTAAGGTTCCAGCTCCTGAAACGTCCCAGAATGTAACTTGAAAAATCACCTATCCAAGAAAATATATTTTGCTGGTAGGACACTCAACTCTGGACTAGGTTCATGACATTTCTATTAATTATTGGCTGTCTGTTTTCAGGAATCTCACTATAGCCATGTGATTGTCTACACATTTTCCACAAGCCCACTGTCTTTTTCCTTAAATCTATTATGTTGGTAAGATTGCTGTTTTCCCCCAACAACAAGCCCAAATCCTGGGATTCTTTGAGTCCTTTTCACATTTGCCTCCCAACTAAATGTTTCCAGGTCCTGGTCATGTTCCTCCACTACTTTCAGTGAGGACCTATATGCCAGGACTGCACATCTGAACACTGTATTTACAGTCTCCCTAGCTGGTTTCCCTCTCTCTTTTCTCACCTTTTTCCAACCCACCATTCCTAAGTCCTGTGTTCATGATTCTGTTCCTATGTTCAATAACTTTCAGTGATTTTTCCATTGCTTACAATATAAATTCTCAACTTGTTAGAACTCTACAATTTATCCTTTTGATCTTGTCCTTTCCTATCAAAATTTCATCTATTTTTATCTATACATAATATTTGTCCATATTTATGGGGTACATGTGATATTTTGTTACATGCATAGACTGGTGTCATGATCAAGTCAGGGTATTTGTGGTGTCCATCACTTTGAGTATCATTTCTATGTCTTGGGAACATTTCAAGTCCTCTTTTCTAGCTATTTTGAAATACACAGCGCATTGTTGTTCATTATAGTCACCTTTATCCATTCTTCAGGATCCCACATCTGTATGTAAATGTAAGTTTAATTGTTTATATGTTTACCTTCCTCATTAGGTAATAGCTCCTTGAGGACAGGAACTGATCTGACTTATCTTTGCATTTGCAAAAAGGCTAAGATAGTGCCCAGCACAGATAAATTCTTGGACTCTAGCTTTATGAGGGGAAAGATGCTATCTCATTCACCTTTGTGCTCTTGCACTTACACAGTATCTAGCTCTGATGAACATGCATTAAAAGATAAATGAATAAAAACAATGTTTTTCCATGAATGAAGGTATAGCCCATTCTACTTCCAGTTCCTTTTTTAAAGAAGAGGCAGTATGGAACCAAACAGATGGTTAAAATGTTAATTCTTATATTGTCTAGTTAGGCTTTGGGCCTATTACTATTCTCTGGATCTGTTTTTTCCCTGTATAAGAAGAGGAAGTTGAGGCTTAGATCTAAGTGTGTGTGTGTGTCTATGTATGTATGTGTGTGTGTGTGAGAGAGAGAGATGAGGAGAGAATGCCACTGGTATTTTCTTAAGGAACAGGGACACAGTCTTCCTCACATTTAGGCTTTATTTATATGAATCAGCACTAGGTGATATCAAGGCTAAGAGAAGTTGAAGTCTAGAGTTCAAAGAGGTCTTTTATCTCCTGATGCTGGAAGATGCATTGATTTATGTTTACAGCCTTGACTTGGCTCTGCAGTCTTGGAACCTTGTAATGATAAATCATATGAGCAACTAAAATCATCCTCTATAGTTTACAGAGCACCTTTGTTTTCTAGCTTCTCTCTCTCATTCTGTCTTTCTGTGTTTATTTCTTGTTTTAGCTGCAGATATTTTTCAAGCACTTTCAAATCTCTTATTTCAGCAGAGCTTCATAAATGCACCATGAAGTAGCTTGAGTAGATATGGTTATGATAATTTTAAATTATGATTTGGCTTTAGAATTAAATAGTCTTTTAATTAAAAAAACTTTTTATTATGAAAAATTCCAGCCAGCCTTTGTTTGGAATCCTGGCTTATTTCTTACTAGCTGTATGACTTATGGTGGGTTGCTTAATTTATCAGAAACTTTGTCCCTCTTCTATAAAATGGGGTTAACAGCAATACCTGCTACATGGGTTTGTTATGAGGATTAAATAATACTTTTAGAGCACTTATTACTCCTGGGTCACAGTAAATGCTAAAATAAAGTGGCTATTATTATTTGGTGATTTCTTGACAAAGGAGGGGGGACTATAACCCCCATATGCTTTCCTAAACTCTTTTAAGTTGAAGAACAATCTTAGCATAATTGGTTTGTTAACATTGGCAGTAAAAGTTTTCAAGTTTTCAGTGCTATGAACTTGGGTTTGATGATGTTGGTGTTGAGTTTGGAGGTTTTAACTCAGACCGCCTGACTACTATTTCTCCTGAAATTTTTTTCTTCTTGTTTTGCTTTCTACTTGGAATTGCTCTTAAGCAGAGACTTGGAGCCATGCCACTTTAAAGAGTTAAATTTCTGATGCCATTTTTAAGATTCATGTGGGCATTGTCTTTGGCTATCTTTCTATCACTGTACCCCAGGTTACTCCTGAAACAGGAAGGAGTGGAGAGGCGTCCTTCTACTTTTTCTGGTAGACCATGCCCTCCTTGAAGACACAGAATGTTTCTTGCCTAACAGAGATCTTTGTACTTGTCCAAGTACAGGCTTAGCAGATTCTTTACTATGTATGATTCTTAAAGAGCATTGATTGAAATAATTGTTTTAAAAGCCATTAGGGTTATGTGGAGCAAAGATGAGAGTAAAAAAATGCATTTCCACTGTCATCATCCTTGACTTATGACAAGATTCTGCCCTCTAATTCCTTGCTACTCAAAATGTAGCCTTTAGACCGGCAGCATCAGCATCACCTGGGAGGTCATCAGAAATGCAGACTCTCCACCTGACATCCAATCTACCGAGTCAGAAGAATCAGATTCTACCCTTTAACAAGATCCCCAGGGGAATCTCTGACCAGTAAAGTTTGAGAAATTCTGCACTAAAAGATGTGCCGTCAGCCCAGCAGGTGTTAAGCCATGCCTGAAGGACAGACTGGCTGTGTTCACCAGATGAGTTCCCATATTGGCAATTAACTCACCTGGTTCTAGATCTAGTCTCATTTCATTCTGTTTTGAGACCTGCGCATCCATCTGGCTTTCCTTTTACTCTATTATGGCAACCCACTGAAATTTAACTTTTGGGATGCTTGACTCATCTGCTTTGCATCCCATTAAGAGCATCATTCTTCCTTCTGGCACAGTTTTCCTAAGGTTGCTAGTCTTGAACCCTCCATATCTATCTGATCTCATGGGCTACTCTCATTGGACAATCCTTCACTACTTCCTTGCTCAGACCTGAGTCAGCAAAAACTTTCAAAAGACATATCTTAAGAATTGTGTGTGTGTGTGTGTGTGTGTGTAGTCTATATTAATGAGAGTTCGTATCTCAGTAATTTAATTAGTACTAAGTGATGTCAAATCATTTGGTGCACTCATCAAAACTTACTGATTTTTTGTGCCTTATTCCAGTGCAATGATACATAGTTATATTAGGATTAAATAAGATAATGACAGAAAAATATGTGAAACTCTATATTGTCACACAATGCTGTTCCAATCTGTACCATCTAATGAAGAAAATTTAAACAAATGCCTTATTAGCTGATGATGGCTTAACATATAAACAGTATGGGTGAAAGTTGCTGTTGACTGCTTCTTGCAAGGTATTATCCTAAAAAAGGAGAGTAATGTGGAGTTTTATTTGCACCAAGGCACTGTGTATAGGGGTCACTTTTTGCTCAGGGCAGCCTGTCTTAATCCTAATCCCTGAAGTCAGGACTGCCACGGTTGCATGGCTCTGCCACATCAGTGGTGTCTCCTGTTGTTGTCCAATGTGGTGGCACTGCCTGAAGCCACACCAGGTAGCAGGGAACTTTCTTTGCCCTGGTGGGAGGGCCCACATTTTCCTATGAACCTGACCTTTCCTATGAACCGAATCTTCCTATGAAGTTTCCATTTCATATTTTTCTTGAAATGTTCTGCTACACCTGACATCTGTTGTTTTCTAGAATAGAAAAGTAAGTTACAGTTTAGGACTGTGCTGTCCAGTGTGGTAGCCTTTAGCCACAGGTGGCTACGGAGCATTTGAGATGCAGCTTATCCTAACTGAGATGTGCTGTTAGTGTAATAAACATACTAGATTTTGACAACTTAGAAGTAAAAAAAGATTGCAACATATTTCATTAATAGTTTTTTATATTAATGTTTAAATGATATTTTGGATATATTGAGTTAAATAAAAATACTATTAAAATTAATTCCACTTTTTTAAACATGTAGTTACTAGAAGATTTAAAATTATATATGGCTTGCATTATATTTCTATTGAGCTGTGCTGGTTAAGAAAATTTTATATATAATAATATTGTATATATAATGTATATATGAATATGTAGTAAGTAGGATTAGTTAGGATTTACCAGAGAAACTGAACTAATAGGAGATTTTATAGATGCTAATTTTAAATATAGTTTGTATTATATATGTGTAATAATATATAACATGTAATATATATTATATATTTTTAAATATATATTTTAAAATTGTGTGTGTATATATATATATATATGTGGAGAGAGAGAGAGAAGGAGAGAGAGAGATTTATTATAAGGAATTTGTTCATGTAATTATGGAGGCTGGCAAGTCTCAAAATCTGCAAGATAAATTGGCAAGCTAGGGACTCAGGAAAGGTGGTGGTATAGTTTTAGTCTGAATCTGAAGGCCTAAGAACAAGAGGAGCTGAGGGTGATAGTTCTAGTCTAGAGCAGGAGAAGACCATGTCCCCACTTAAGCAGTCAGGCAGAGACAGAGAGTGAATTCTCCCTTCCACTTCCATTTTGTTCTATTCAGGTCATCAGTGGATTGGGGGAGGCCCACCCACATTGGGGAGGGCAATATGCTTTGCTCAGTGTCCTGATCCAAATGCTAATCTTATCCAGAAACACCTTCACAGACACACCTGCAAATAATGTTTAACCATTATTTGACTGGGCATCCTGTGGCCCAGTCAAATTGACATGTAAAATTAACCATCATATATATCAGGGATCCCCAACCCCCCGGGCTGCAGACCAGTACTAGTCTATGGCCTGTTAGGAGCCGGGCTGCACAGGAGGAGGTGAGTGGCCAGCGTTGGAGCATTCCTGCCTGAGCTGCGCCTCCCGCCAGATCAGCATTAGATTTTCATAGGAGCCCTAACCCTGTTGTGAACTGCGCATGTGAGGGGTCTAGGTTGAACATTCGTTATGAGAATCTAACTAATGCCTGATGCTCTGAGGTAGAACAGTTTCATCCTGACACCATCCCCCGTCCCCCACCATCCATGGAAAAATTATCTTCCACAAAACCAGTCCCTGGTGCCAAAAAGGTTGGGGACTGCTGCTATATATAACAGACGGCAAAAGCTGCAAGGAAGTGAAAGAACCTATAGGTTGAAAGATCATTATGCAGTTCTAACTCAGGCCAGCAGGAATTATACCACCATATGGTTTTTTTTCCTTTCTACCTTTCCAGGAGGTAAGCGAGGATGTAAGTCATGGCTGCATCATGGCAGAATGTTTCTGGTGGAAACAGGGTCCTTAAAGAGCAATTACACTGTTCCTTCCATAAGCATAGATTTGAAAATCCCTTTAGCCAGAGAGAAGACACAGGCAACAAATGGAAGGTACAAGAATTTTTTTATGCGGAGTTGTTTTTGAGTCTCTAAACATATCAAACTCATCAGCTAATATTAGGAGGCAAATCTCTTATCTCTGATTAAGAGACTCAGAGTGAGCTGGTGGACTTCAGCAGAAGGCAGGGGTAGGTGCCAGCATGAGCTTCCTTCCTAAGATTTGTTCTTTGTGAACTGACTGGTAAAGCCACTTTGTTTTCTCATGCTCATAGCTTTTTGTTTTTGGTCTGTAGTTTCCAGCATCCACGTTTCCTCCACTTTTCGGAAAGGGTATATTTTTCCATCTCCCACCTTTTCATATTCTTTGTGTGTGTTTCAGGAGTGCTGACTGTGTTTCTGTAGTCACATCTGTGTGTCCTTTTAGTCCCTCACATAGTTGCCTGGGTTGGATGACATTCATAGAAGTGAATATTGCTTCTCAACAGCAAGTTTCCTAGACACTCCCAACTTCATCTCCAATGTAAAGTGAGTCCTTGGTACAATCTCAGGTCATCTTTTTCTTTTTTCACTCCTCTTAACACAATTTGCGCTGATATAATCATGTGATTATTTGTAATGCCATGTCTCCCACTTGAGCTACAACCTGCATGAAGATGGGACCTTGGCGTTTTTGGTCTCTGTGGGGTTCCCAGTGCCTGGGACATATTAGGCACTAGGTAAACATTTGTTGACTGACTGAATGAATGCATTGATTTAATGTAACCAGAAACTCTTAATGTCACTTTACTTATCATGACATAAAGTCCATCATCTTTTCCTTTTTTTAGTTGACAGATAATAACTATACATACTTATGAGACGGTAATATTTTGATACATGTATACAATGTTTAATGATCAAATGAGGATAATTAGCATATTCATCACCTTGAACATTTATCATTTCTTTGTGTTGTGAACATTCAAAATCCTCTCCAAGCTTTTTGAAAAGGTACACTAAATTATTTTTAGCCATATTCACCCCACAGTGCTATAGAACACTAAAATGTATTCCTCCCATCTGGCTGTAACTTTGTTTCTGTTAACCAATCTCTCCCTATTCTCCCTCCTTCCTACCCTTCCCAGCCTCTGATAAGCACAGTTCTACTCTCTACTTCTATGAGCTCAGCTTTTTTTTTAAACCCCAGCTCTCATACATGAGTGACAACCTGCAGTATTTATCTTCCTGTGCCTGGCTTATTTCACCTATCATGTCCCCCAGGCTCATCCATGTTCCAGGAACGACAGGATTTCATTCATTTTTTTTAAATAGCCAAATAGTATTCCACTGTGTGTCTATATCACAATAAATTCCATGATGGTCATCTTTTGTCTTCCTGTTTCTATTTGAAGATGATTTTTATGAAACAAGAATGGCGCCGCACTGCCTGAGTGATCTTGCTACTTCTAGGTCATCTATTAGTTGACACTCCGTCATGTCATCCCTTGGCCCATCCCTTCCTTGTTATTCTTTTTTGCTTGGAACACACCTTGGAATGATGTTTTTGTCTAGCACTATTCACTACCAACCTCCCCCAGAAGTCTCATCTCATTCAGGATTTCAGCTTTCTGATAGTTATTTTTTCCTGCTGTCGTCTTTGTGTTCATTACAAGTTGTATATCCTTTATTTCTTTCTTACATGCAAATTATTGTAAATTTATTTTAATACATTTAAATACCCTCTTTCCAAAAGCCTCATTCTATTCAGAGGACTTTGCCATGGTGTGATGAGAAAAACTTGGGATTGTAACACCTCCCGCCCAAACTGGGAAGAAGCCAAGAAACTAAAGAATGACTTGCACACATCCACCTTGATGAGTAGATGAATTTATTAGGACCTACATACCGGGCACTCCTGGATGGCGGCAGGACCTCTCTAGACATCCATGCCACCTTCGGTCTCTAAGCTGCTTTGAAGCTAATTTTCTGGTTCTTTGCCTACAGTGTTTGAGTGATGAGACTGTTTCCCTTGGTAGGTTCTCAGATACTCTCTGGGATGTTTGGGTTCTCAGGGTCACTTGCTCCTCGACTGGGCACCATGGCCTTGGCTCACTGCCCAGTCTTCAGGGTTTAGGGAGCAGAGATACACCCTTAAGTAACCTGGTGGGGGATCCATCACACTACATAGGGGGACATACCTTTTGCGGGGATAGGGTAGGGGGATGTTTTGCAGTTTGGTTTTTTTTAACGTACAAGACCAATATCTAATTGTACAATATTGCTCCTGAGTTGTTTATTAATCAAAAATGATTTCATAAGTGTATTGGTTTTCTATTGCTGCTGTAAGTTACTGCAAGCTTGGTGACTTAAAACCACATACATGTATTCTCTTATAGCTCTGGAGGTCAGAAGTCTGAAAATCAGTTGCACTGGACCAACACCAAGGTGTCAGCAAGGCTCTGCTCCCTCTGGAGGGTCTTGGGGAGAATCCATTTCCTTGCCTTTTCCAGCTCCTAGTGGAAGCTTGTATTCCTTGGCTTTTGACTTTTCCAAAGCCAAAAGCATAATTTTGGCTTCGGATGGGTCACATCTTGCTTCGGGTGTCACATTGTTATATTGCCTTCTTCTGTGTCATCTTCTCTGTGTCATCATCTTATAGGGACATTTTTGATCATACTTAGAGCCCATCTGAATAAACCAAGATAGTCTTTCCATTCTAACACCCTTAACTTAATCACATCTGCAAAGTCCCTTTTGCCATATAAACTAACATTCACAGTGTCCAGGGATTAGGGCCTAGATATCTTTGGGAACTATTATTCAACCTACTGCAATAAGAAAACTGTGTTTTAACTTTTATGTGATATGGAAATTTAGGCAAGAGAATAATTATGTAACATAGATAAATAAGGCCAAGTGTGGTGGCTCACTCCTGTAATCCCAGCACTTTGGGAGGCCTAGGTGGGTGGATCACCTGAGGTCAGGAGTTCAAGACCAGCCTGGCCAACATGGTGAAGCCCCGTCTCTACTAAAAACACAAAAAATTAGCTGGGTGTGGTGGCATGTCTGTAATCCTAGCTACTTGGGAGGCTAAGGCAGGAGAATCACTTGAACCCAGCAGGTGGAGGTTGTAGTGAGCTGAGATCGTGCCATTGCACTCCAGCCTGGGTGACAAGAGCAAGACTCTGTCTCACAAAAAAAGAAAAAAAAAGATAAATAAACTGGATAAGTGGTTTATATATTTTAGGATATTAATAGTGGTTTTCTGTGGTTGGAGGGTGATCTTTACTTACTTCTTAATTCTTCTCACCTGTATTTTCTTTTTCCCCCTAGTCCTTAGAACCCGTGAATCTCATCTGTATTTTTCTAAAATTTATACAATAAACAGGTAGTTTATTTATAATGCAAAAAACAGGAAAATATTTACTTTTTAAAACAGAGTCAGAGTCATAAGATCAATCTCCCTTTAATTAAATTATGACCTAGAGCTAAGACAAAACTTAATCTATATATGTTGGAGAAGGAAGGGATAGAGGTTACTTATGGAGTACATTTTTTGTTTTTAAATGTAATTATACCACTTATAAGCACATTTTTTTCTTTTGTCTGTTTAATTAGAAAACCACTTGGGAGGAGATAATTATCTCTAATTATTTTTATTTTTAATTTTTAAGGTTTTTTAGGAAGATAATGTCAACATTAGGAAATAACATTTTTTCCTTCCAATATTTATAACTCTTTTTTTCCTTTTCTTTACTTATTGCACGGTGAAGCAGTTCCAGAATAATTTTGAATAATAGTGGCAATACTGGGAAGACTTATCTTACTTTTTTATTTAATGAGAATATTTCCAGTATTTCATCATAACATCTGAAGTTGTGTATATTAGAAAGATAAATAGTACCATGTTAAGGTTGAATAATTTTTTTAATTTACAAGGAATCTTTAAAATCAGGAATAAATATTTAATTTTATTAATTACTTATCATCATCTATTAAGCTGATCTAATGGGTATTTTTTCTCTCTTGGCCTATTGGTGGAATAAATTACCTTACTAGATTTCCTAGGTTAAATCTTATTTGGACATAGATTATTGTTCTTTCTTTTTTTTATTTGTATAAATGTATGGAATACCAGTGTAATTTTGTTACATGGATATATTGCATAGTGGTGAAGTCAGGGCTTTTAGTGTATCCATCACTGGAATAATATACATTGTACCCGTTAAGTAAATTCTCATCATCCACTCCCCTTTCATCCCCTACTCTTCTGAGTCTCCAGAGTCTATTATTCCATACTCTATGTCCATGTGTTTATGTTATGTAGCTCCAGTTTATAAGTGAGAATATGCAGTACTTGTCTTTTTGTGTCTAAGTTGTTTCACTTAAGATATTGGACTCTAGTTACATTCACGTTGCTACAAAAGACATGATTTCATTCTTTTTTATGACTGAATAGTATTCCATGTTCTATCTATCTATCCATCTCACATTTTCTTTATCCAATCTGTTGAGGGACATTTAGGGTGACTCCATATCTTTGCTATTGTGAATAGTGCTGTGATAAACATATGAGTGCAGGTATCTTTTTGAAATAAATATTTCTATAATATTGTATTTTGTTTATGTTCTTTAGAATTTTTAAAATCCATGTTCATAAATACTTTTGTTCCACAAGCTTTTTAAAATGTATGTGTGAGCTGGGTGAGGTGGCTCATGCTTGTAATTGCAGCACTTTGGGAGGCCGAGGCAGGTGTATTGCTTGAGGCTGGGAGTTCGACACCAGCCTGGGTAATGTCGCGAAACGCCGTCTCTACTGAAAATACAAAAATTAGCCAGATGTAGTGGCATGTGCCATAATCCCAGCTACTTGGAAGATGGTGGCAGGAGGATCGCTTGAACCCAGGAGGTGGAGGTTGCAGTGAGCCAAGATTGTGCCTCTGCACTCTAGCCTGGGTGACAAAGTGAGACTCTGTCTCAAAAGAAAAAAAAAAAAGTATGTGTGATTAGTTTTGTTAATATTTATTTGTGTACTTTGTTCTCACATATTGAAAAATAATTATCTGTTTATTTGAAGATCTGAAAGAATTTGTCCATCACAACCATACGTGCCTATATCATTTTTAGAGCAAGTAATGTTGTGAACACTAATTTATGTCATGAGTTTTCAGCCATTCAAATTTTTTATTTTTTCTTGGATCAGTATCAGTAATTTGCTTTTTTTTAATGTTCCATTTATTTCACATTTTTAATCTTTTAGTTTAGAGAAATTTTTCATTGCAAATGCCTACATTTTTCATTTCTCCTATTTCGTAGAGGTGAGGCTGCTCCATCCCTTTGGCTCCTTTGTATTCGTTTGCTGTTGGAGGAAGCCAAGTTCTCTCCCAGCTTTAGCTGCTGCACTTAAATTGGCCCACTGCATCTTCCAGTGAAAATCCTCTGACTCCTTCAGAACGCTCCTGTTCTCGGGTGCACCCTGCTGCATCCTTCTGCTCCCTCTTGCATGGGGGCCAGCAATACACAGGTCTTGACTCTTGTTGATTTGTGCCACCCACTTGTATTTAGGGGCTCCTGGAGATAACTTGTCACCTAGTTTTGTTGTAAATGTTTTTTATAGATTTTGATTTTGCCATCTAGTTACTCTGTTTTTATGTGGCAATTGGGAATATCTAAAAACCATCTTACCACTGTTGTTCCCATCTTCCCAGAATTCCCTCTTACTTACTTATACATTAGAAACTCTGACATTTAATCTTTTTATTCCTTTATCTTTACCATGCTATTTTACATTTATTTATTCCTTTCTCTTATTTTTTAAAAATTTATTTTCTAGATTTTATTTTTATTTGTTTATTTATTTATTAATTTTTGAGATGGAATTTCATCCTCGTCACCCAGGCTGGAGTGCATTGGTGTGATCTTGGCTCACTGCAACCTCCACTTCCTAGATTCAAGTGATTCTCCTACCTTAGCCTCCCGAGTAGCTGTGATTACAGGCATACACCACCATGCCCAGTTAATTTTTGTATGGTTAGTAGAGATGGGTTTCACCATGTTGGCCAGGCTGGTCTCAAACTCCTGACCTAAGGTGATCCACCAGCCTTGGCCTCCCAAAGTGCTGGGATTACAGGCGTGAGCCACTGTATCCGGCCTTTTTTTAGACTTTAAATAACAGATTCATTCATTGATATCTTTCTTATTTAATATTGAAATATTTATGACTATATACTTTTCTGAAAATAGTTTGGGTATTTTATATACATTTTAATGTAGAGTTTAAAATTTTTTATTTAAAATTATTTGCAATTATAATTTATAGTTCTGTAACAATTTTTTTAGAGTAATTTTTAAAAATTTTTAAGTGGTTGGACTTTTCTTTCTAACTTTGGTTATTAATTTATAATTTTGTTACATTACATTCAGGAATATAGCTTGTGAAACTTTGGTTTTAGGACTTTGAATTTTTCTCTGTATCCTACTTTACGATAAATTATTGTAAATAGTGTATAGGTTTTGGAACAGAAAGTATGTTTTCTGATTGTTCATATTAAATTGTACAATTTTATAAATTTGTACATTAAATCAATTTTAATAAATTAATCAGCACCTTTACATCTTTGATTTCTTTCTTTCTTTTTCTTTCTCTTTCTTTCTTTTTCTTGCCTTCTTTCCTTCCTTCCTTCCTTCTTTTCTTCTTTTCTTCCTTCTTCCTTTCTTCCTTTCTTTTTTGATGGGGCCTCACTATGTTGCCCAGGCTGGAATGCAGTGGCTACTCACAGGCGTGATCCTAGCTCACTGTGATCTCCAACTCCTGGCCTCAAGCAATCCTCCTGCCTCAGCTTCCTGAGTAGCTGAGACTACAGGTGCATGCCACTGTATCCAGCTTCTTTTAAAATTTTTTTTTTAAATAAATTGTATATATTTAATGTGTACAACAAGATGTTATGGAATACATGTAGATAGTAAAAGTGAAGCATATAGATAGTAAAAAGTATAGTGAAGCAAATGAACATATTTATCAATCATCTCACATAGCTACTCCTTGTTTTACTTTTTTGTGGCAAGAGCAGCTAAAATATGCTCATTTGGCATGAATCTGAAATACAGTACAATTTTGTTACCTATAGTCTTCATGTTGCATGTTAGATCTCTAGACTTGTTCATCCTATGTATCTGATACTTTGTATCCTCTGACCTACATCTTTCCATTTCCTCCCACCACCCCGACCCTTGTAACCACTATTTTGTCTTCTATCTCTGTATATTTGATCTTTTTTTTTTTTTTTAGATTCCACATATAAATGAGATCTTGCAAATTATTTTTCTTTCTGTGTCTGGCTTATTTCACTTAGCATAATATCTTCCAGACTCATCCATCTTATGGCAAATGGCAAGATCTCATTCTTTTTTTATGCCCAAATAATATTCCATTGTATATATACAGATTGAATATCCCTTATCTGAAATGCTTGGGACAAGAAGTGTTTTGGATTTCAGATTTTTTTTTCAGATTTTGGAACATTTGCCTATACATGAATAAGATATCTTGAGTATGGGACTCAAGTCTAAATACACAATTCATTTATGTTTCATATACACTGTATATACCTAGGTGTATTAGTCCATTCTTGCATTGCTATAAAGAAATACCTGAGACTGAGTAATGTATAAGAAAAGAGGTTTAATTGGCTCATGGTTCTGCAAGTTGTATAATGGCATCTGCTTCTGGGGAGGCCTCGGGAAACTTCCAATTACAGTAAAAGGTGAAACAGGAGCAGGCACTTCACTTCGCAAAAGCAGGAACGAGAGAGAGAGAGAGTGAGAGAGAGAGAGAATGAGATAGAGAGAGTGAGAGAGAGAGAGAATGAGATAGAGAGAGAGAGAGAGAGAGAGAGAGAGAGAGAAAGGAGAGAAAGTGCCACACACTTTTAAATGACCAAATCTTGCGAGAACTCACTATCATGAAGACAGCACCAGGCTGTGAGGAATCCGCTCCCATGATCCAAACACCTCCCACTAGGCCCCACCTCCAGCATTGGGGATTACAGTTCAGAATGAGATTTGGGCAGGGACAAATATCCAAACTATATCATTAGGCTAAAGGTAATTTTATACAGTATTTAAACTAATATATGTGACCCATCACATGAGGTCAGGTGTAGAATTTTCCACTTGTGGTGTCATGTCAGTGCTCAAAACGTTTTGAATTTTGGAGCATTTTTTATTTCAGATTTTGAATTAGGGATGCTCAACCATATACTGTAGTTTCTTTATTTATTTGTTCATTGTTGGACACTTAGGTTGTTTCTATATCTTGGCTACTGTGAATAATGCTACAATAAATGTGGAGAAAGAAATTACATTTTCTGTTTGTTCATGTCAAATGCATTTTATGAATTTATTCATTAAATCAATTTTAATAAATAGATTAACCAGCATCTTTACATCTTTGCTTACTTTTTTATCTGTCAAAGACAGATTTGTTAGCATTTCTGAATATGATCACATTTCTGTTATTTTTCTCTTTATATTTCTGACAATTTTTGCTTTACACGTGTTAATGCAATATTGACATATAAATGTTCATTAAAATTATATTTTCATTGTAAATTATACCTTTTGCCAATATAAATGATGAACTTGTGCATTTGCCTGGTAATCGATATTATCTGGAAATAATATTGAAATTATGCTTTATGTTTATATACTTTTTCCCATATTCCTTCACTTATTATTTATATTTCTGTGTTGATTTGTTTTAAGGTGTATGTATTTGATAAACAAAACAAAACAAAATAAAACAAAAAAACAAACCAAATAGAAGACAGTAAAACATTATCTTTCCTTCCCTTCCTGAAGTCATGGAATTTCATACCCCCAAACCCATCTTTTATTTCTCTGTTCTATTCTTGAATCTTATTATGGATGTCACTCTTGGTTTTAATCCAGATTTTTATTGTAAGATATTTTTATACTACATGTGTCTCCTAAATAATGATGAATATTAATTAATCAAATTACTGCTGATTAATTAATTAAACAACTACTCAGACACTGTATAAAGGACTGGGCAAGTATCTATGAAGTAGATACATACTGTCCCTGATCATATTCTGAACTTGATAATTTAGTAGATGATACAGACAAGTAAGCAGACAATGATAGTATTTCAACCAGTAGCCTGAGTGCCGTGATTGAGGGATGTTATGAAGGTGCTGTAGGGGGGACCTAGGAGGGATTCTACCCTGCTTTTGGTGAGTCAGAAAAGATATTCTTAATACTCATAACTTTTAATTAGAAGACAAGATGACTTCACATGCTTTTTAGTTTCCTTTACTTAGAAACCAAGAAATCCTCCAGATTTCTTCTGAATTCTTTGTTCATCAGTAAATCTATAGAAACGGTGGAAGGCTTGGAACATTTTATGAGGCCCTGTTATTTTACAGCCATTGTACCAAGTGTTTTACATTAGTCATTATCTTTCAGATCTCATAACAACCCTATCTGTGAGATTTTTTTGCCCATTTCACAGATGAAAAAATGGAGGCTCAGAAAGGCTAGGTAATTTGCGTGGTTGCATGACTTGACAATGATTCCTATTGTCAAGGCCAGCCTGAGTGCCCTTGATCTTTCCACCCTAAATGCTCAAACTGAAAGTTTGAGTCTTGGGGGGTTCCCGTTTTTGGAAGATAGCACCCCCTACTTGGCTGCATCAATTATGGTATAGAAGGTCGTCTTTGTCTTCCTGGGAGGTGTATGCATGTGAAGGGCGATGGTAACAAGATTCTTCCTGTTTTCTTTTCTTTTGTTTTTTTTTTTTTGAGATGGAGTCTCACTCTGTCACCCAGGCTAGAGCGGAGTGTAGTGGCGTGATCTTGGCTCACTGCAACCTCTGCCTCCTGGGTTCAAGCCATTCTCCTGTGTCAGCTTCCCAAGCAGCTGGGACTGCAGGCATGCACCACCACGCCCAGCTAATTTTTGTATTTTTAGTAGAGACGGGGTTTCACCATCTTGGCCAGGCTGGTCTTGAACTCTTGACCTCAAGTGATCCACCCACCTCAGCCTCCCAAAGTGCTGGGATTATAGGCGTGAGCCACCGCACCCAGCCAATTCTTCCTATTTTCTATTGTCTGGGTCTCACTGAATTCATTACAAGAAAAATAGATTGTTGCCTTTTTTAAAAACTGGGAATTTCCCATTATTCTGAGAATTGGTGGGAGAGTTTTATTCCTTTCTTCCCCACTTTTCAGACTATGGACATTGGTTTTAAGTCCTTCCTCTTTGGAATAATTTTCTTATTTCTTTCATTCTCATATTCATTTTTGACTATGCATGGAAAAAGTATTTCTTTGAGACTCTTCACTGTGACTTCTGGGTGGGTTGGGGGAGACCCTTTACACCATGCACTATTGTTCCCCACCTCTAATAGGAAGGAAAACAGGACCACAACAGAAATCTTGCCTTCTGGCTGCACAATGACCTGGCCGACTTCTGTGCACCTGATCCCTCCTTGGCCCCCACCAGAAATTTTCCTGTGTGTTGCCACAGAAAATTGCCTGTTCATTCATTTCTTTGTCTGCAGAATAGCTGGTTTTAACCCTGCCTGGATACTACTTTCTTTTTTCTTTTTCTTTCTTTCTTTTTTTTTTTTTTTTTGAGACAGAGTCTCGCTCTGTCGCCCAGGCTGGAGTGCAGTGACGTGATCTCAGCTCACTGCAAGCTCCGCCTCCCAGGTTCATGCCATTCTCCTGCCTCAGCCTCCCAAGTAGCTGGGACTACAGGTGCCCGCCACCACAGCTGGCTAATTTATTATTATTATTATTATTATTATTATTATTATTATTATTTTAGTGGAAATGGGGTTTCACTGTGTTAGCCAGGATGGTCTCGATCTCCTGACCTCTTGATCCACCCGCCTCAGCCTCCCAAAGTGCTGGGATTACAGGCGTGAGCCACCACGCCCGGCCGGATACTACTCTTTCTTTGCTATTATTCCTGCTAACCTATTATTCCTGCTAACCTAACCTGATGTCTTACTAGTAATTAATTCTAATGAGTCCAACAGGGATTTCACGTTCCCTCCTTTGGTAAACGTTACCCTGGGGATAAACATTGCACCTCTCTCTCTCCCTGTGTCTCTCTTTCTTTCTCCACTATAGACCAGTACCTTTACCATGAGTTGATAGGCAGCTGTACTGTCTTCGGAAGAATACAAGCATCCTGCTTCCCGGGGCCCTCATTCAAAAAGGCTTTCTAGGATAATTGACCTTTGAGTTCAGATCAGAGTTGAAGGATGAATTGTGAAGACAAAAGGGCTGGGGAGTTGGGTGAGCAGCACAGGGCGGCAGGCAGGGAGCAGTGGAGTGTGTGTCAGATCAAGGCTGTTTTTGTCCCACAGGGTTGTTGCTGGGATTCGTGAGGAATAGGGAACATTCATCTACTGCAACAAGTACCCATGTGCCTGGCATCTTTGTGTCCATAGGATAATTGTAATTTGTGTGAAATTTTACTCTTAGAATTTCTGAAATGAAAGGCTTTCTTTTCGGAGGAATCATTCATTCACTCATTTAACAAACCTTCATCAGATGTCTGTCACAGACCCTCCAGAGTCAGGCTTGGCTATGACAGGAGGCCTGGCTTTTGTTGTCTGGGGCTGAGACTCCACTGTGTAGCAATTTGCTCCTCATATACTGACAACCTTACCTACGTGGCAGGGGAGGCTTGTTGATCAGAAGCAAGAATCTTCAATTCCTTTCACCAAAGACCTTTTAGTTGAAACAATCACTGGGGCAGTCCTGAAGGAGTAGGCTGCCCAGCAGGGTCATGCCTTGGCCTGGTTGGGTAGATTCCATTGCTGCCCCTGGAGGAGAGTGAACCCAAAGGGCTGTTTCTTCAGAGGCTGTACTCTCAGCCGGCGTGGGAAACAGGTGACAACTAACAAATGCACTAAAGGGTCACAGGTGCTACAATGAAGGCTGCGGAGGGTGAGTGGGGCACAAAGAGAGGAGGGCAGGTCTGTCTGGAATGACCAGGAAGGTAGCACCTTTTAGGCACTTAAACTTTACCCCAATCTAATGTCATGTCACTATCATGTCTCTATTCACGGAGAGCAAAGATCGTATCTTTGTACATTAGTTTATCACGTGCAGGCACCTTTCGGATCCATTTTTTCTCATTTGAATGATTATAGTAGGCATTTTACAGATGGTGAAGCAGCCAGAAGGCAGCAGAGATGGGACTGAAGTGTAAGGCTTCTGACTGACAGCCTTATCTTTTTGACCACTTGAGGGATGAAGAGCTTTTGATTTGGGGGCTTCTTCTGCCCGTGATAGTTCTTTCATTTATCCCTGCCTCCTGCAATCCAGGCACTGTGCTTGGCTCTGCAGACACAGCCAGACTTCAGTCACGTGGTTGGTGCCTCAAGGGGTTGGCACACTTATCAACAACCACCCCATACAGAGGGCATGCCATGAGGAGGGCATGTAGGCTGCTGGAGGACTGTGGCAGGCAAGGAGCAAAGGGGGCAGCTGCCAGCTGCATGATGGCGGGGCTGAGCTCTTCCCCTGGGCTCCCTGAATCACTGGGCAGAAGCACAGTATCTTCTGGGGATCAGATCTTCCCTCAGCTTCAGCCCTTCCTCAAACCCATCCTATTCCCACTGGGCAGTAGGTGTCGATGCTGCTCACAGCCACTCTCTGCCCAGGTCCTCTGAGGCTGCCCCTGGAGTCTCTATTCTGGTGGAAAACGCTGTTCCTAAAGAGTATCCAAAATTTCAGAATCTGACCCTGGACAAGGTACTCAACCACTCTACGCCCCTGTGTCCTCTCTATAAGGAAATATTACCAATATCTCATGTGCCTAAATGAACGAAAACACATAAAAAGCATAGCCCAGGGGCTAGCATACAGCTATCCCCAGAAAGAAGATAAAGCATTAATGAGAGGTCCGGAGAATCACTTAGGGAACCTGTTCAATATGCAGGTTTCCAGGCCCACTCTTAAGGACTCTAAGTTATAATAGTTAACAATTACCTGGGTCTTACTATGTCCCAGGAGGGCATTGTTTCTAAGTAGTTTTCACAATTTAACTCAGTCACTTTTCCCAACAACCCTACAAGGTAGGTAGCATAATGATGCTCATTTTACATGCCAGGAAACAGGCTAAACTAGATGAGGCAATTTGTCTGAGTCCACACAGCTAGAAAGAGGTGGCATCAGGATTTGAAGTCAGTTGGTCTGACTCCAGGGCCTATGTGCTGACTTCCACAAGGCACTACCTATGAGGGCCAAGTGATCTGGGGCTGGGGGGGTCTGCATTTTCCCCGACAAGTGCCTGGCAACAGTTAATGCAGAGGCTTCTGGGAGTGGAAGTTGAGAGCTCCATTTGACCTTGGCTGGAGCTTGCAGACATCTTTTATTCCTACACCCTTTCCTGCGCTTCTGCCCCATTTTGTGCTGTAGCCTTTGGGGTTTCTAGCTGATCACTTCCATCCTGGTATTTCCCTTTGGAGGGAAATCCTTTCTGTTTACCTGTGGAAAGATCCTACCTTGTACACCTGAGCGAGAGGTCAGGAGGGAGGGTGGAGTGCCTTCTAACATCTCTGCATCCCAGAGAACTGCTTCTTGATGGAAGAAGCTGGACTTTCTTCTGAGAGTGACTCTTGCAGGATTGTGACCAAAGTGTTATTTGTGGATTTATTTTCCTGGGATACACTGGGATACCCTTTGCTCTTGGGGCTTGGCATATATACATATACAGCCCAGGTAGGGAATGAAAGAGGGTTTCGGAGTGCTGCCAAGTCCCTTGGAAACCTGAATTTAGACATAATTGAGAGAGGCTGATAAAACTCCTCTGTCTAATTATATCTCTGCCCCATTTAAAGTCTATTAACAGTTTCTGATTGCCTTGGGGCAGAGTCCAAAAGTCTTAAGGTGACCTCTAGAGTTCTACATACCTTGGCTGTACCTACTTCTTCAACTTCCATTTGTTCATTCTCTGCTTATTCAAGGTCCTCTGGTCACACTCACCTTCTTTCTAGTCCTTGGATGTGCTGGGCTCCTTCTTACCCCAGGGTCTTTGTGTACCAGCTTACTTCTTCTCTAGGTCTTGGTACAAACATCACTCAGGACAGTGTCTCTTAACCCTCCAGGGTAGGGTGGTTCCCCTGTCACAGCATCCCACACTTTTGCTACGCAGCACTTAGCACAGTTATTTGGGTAATTATTTGTTTGACATCTGACTTCTCCCATTAGATAGTCAGTTCCATGAGGGCATCACCTACATCTGCCTTGCAGAATTCTGTATTCCTAGTGCTTAGCTTGGTGCTGTGCACAGCATGGGTGCTCAGAGAATATCTGTGAAATGTATGAGTCACCAGGAGGTCAGGGGGCCTGGAGGTTCTTCAGAGCTTGGTGAAAGGGACTGAGGGGGCAGCTAGAGGCATGTGATGTTCTGATGCTGCTGTGGAGGCTTGCTTCCAGGGATCTTCAATAAGTTCCTCAAAAAGAACTGCACAGAAGCATAACAGTGGGGGCAGGGGAAAACCTGGGAGCTAGGAAGCCAGCCCCCTTCCAAGAATGTATTTTTATAAGAAGGTTTCAGAACAGCAAAAGTCTATCCCAAGAAAAAGAAACTTACTTCTCAGTAGAACTAGGTAACCTGCTGGTACTTGTTATACTGTGATGGCCAGGGCTGCAAGAAAACTTAGATATGCCTAATTTCCACAGATGTTGAGCCCAAAATTCAGAGAGGCAAAGCAGTTTATCCAAGGGTACACAGCTAGCTGTGAACCACAACCAGATCTCCCGGCTTCCAGACCAATTCTCATTTCATTACAACATGCTGCACTTTGATTTAGGGCCACTGTTGGAGGTGAAAAGAAATCATTAGAAAATGAATGTTTCCTGAAATATCACCTGCAATTTATTGCACTCGAATTTCACACTGATAAATAACCTCTTTCTCATTAGCATGCAGGCTTCCTACAATTAGCACTCTCATTTGCACTATGTAAACAGCTTCTAACTGTGCCTTTTACCTCTTTGTTCAAACAAAGATTTCTGTTAGCAAAGAAACAAGAAGGAAATTAGTAGCAGGTGAGAGCTTATTTTTAATTATAGTGAGATTGACTGTTGTTCTCCAAATCTTCTCTAATTCTCCCAAGATATTGATTTGCAGACCCGAGTTTTCAATCTATTAAAGCAGCAGTCATTTCTGATCTTTATTTACTAAATGAAAACACAAATGGCAGCAGTGGATTTCTGGCTTGGTGCCAAGGGAAGCGGTGTGGGGGGATGGTGCTGGATCGAGCATGGATCTGAGAAGCCTAGTAATCAAGGTGAAGTATTAAACTTAGAAGATGTTGAAGAGCAACGATGTTGGCATGTGATGAGCTTAGAGTCTCCAAATCAAAGCTTTCTCAGTGATAACTACTAACTTCTACCTGAAGTGAAGTTTAGGTTCTTTAACAGAAAGATTTTAGTTTGTCTCCAAGGATGAGAAACTTTTTGCCTGTCAGTGATGAAGGGACTGGTTTGGAGCATCTTTTGGTCAGAACATTTCAAAGATTATCTATTGCAATTTCTCACCAAGGGCAAGGATCCATTTTGAAAAATCTGACAACTGATATTCTAGCAGCTCACCATTTCCCTTGTTAATGTCCTCCTTTCTGAAATCCCTGTACCCCTGAATTGACATCTTGTCTCCAGCGACGTTGGTTCACATATTAGGAGATCCACATTGTAGGAAACCTTCCCCCCTTTTACATGACAATCCTATGTCATTATCTACATCTGAAGACAGGGCTATGTCCCTTGAGTCTGCTCTAGTCTATGTGTTCAAAGTTCCTTTAACTACTTTTAATGCGACATGATTTCCAGGCCCCTATGACTCTGCGTGGCTTCTTTTGGACACACTACAGGTCTGAAAGCCCTCCTGCAGTGAGCTGTCAAGAATTGAATACAATGTTTCAAGCACTATCTGATCAGTACAAAGTCAAGGTAAACCTAAGCACTAACTTCTTCCCAGCTGGGGACCCCACCCTGCCCACTGTTTTCTTGTAAGATTTCCCCTATTTAGGAACACAGTATAATACTCTAGACTCAGAAAAAAAAAAAAATCTATCTCTTTTCCCTAGGAACAGGAAAGCCATCTTAGATACAGATTGGTTATCACATTTGAATATATTTTATTTAGTATTTCTGAGCTATTTCTATTGGTTGTTAAACGATTTGCATTTTAGAAAACATTTCATTCTACAAAGCACTTTCACAATAACTGCAAAAGAAAGGCAAAGTTAAGGTTGTCAACCTCATTTCACAAATGAGGAAACTAGACCTCTGGGGCTAATGACTTATCTAATGCCATAGAGAGTTAGGGTTCAAACCCTAGTTCTCTGGCTGAAGGTCCAGGCCTGTTTTCACTATACCGCAGCCATCTCTCCTTAACAGATAATTGAATTGAGAGGGAAACGCTTCATTTGTGGGTTAACTGAACAAGGCCCCAATTCTTCCACTCTGTCAAGTTTAGCATCCCTTCTGGGTTCTTCATCCTATGTCATTTGTCCAATGAGGCAGGTTGATGGGAGCCCCATCATTGGTGTGGAGCTGCGAAATGCAAGATAACCAACATTTGTAAGCTGAACAGAGAAGGTAACCTTCTGACATTTAAGGTAGAGCTTGAATTTGAATTATTCACATTGCACTAATTTGGAATTTGTGCTCTGGCTACTTCTAGTGACTTAGTCAGAGGTTACATTTTTTAAAAATGTTTAATGAAAGGACCCGATAATAGAAAGAGAAACAAGCATACCTAGAAATCTAAGCCAGAAAGAGTTACTATCAGCTTTCGGTTTCCTGGTGTTCAAGGCAAGAATGGAAACATAATGGGTTACCTACCTCTCCTTTTCTTATAAAAGGAAGCAAACAATTAGTGAGAAGTGACACCAACACCAGCTGGGATCTGTCACTTTCATGATTATCTTGTTTTTCACTTTCATGATTATATAAACAATTCTGAACAGCATAATGATCCATAACTTCCGTCACAATTTCCAAACTGTTGGAGATTTCATTCAGAAGGTCTGGACTGTGTTCTGAGAACCTGCACTTTGTTAAACTGCTCCCTGGATGCTTTTAGTGATCAACCAGGTTAGGGAGCTACTGCCTTAGAACAACACCTAGGGACGCTTGTTAAAAATGCAGATTTCTGGCTCTGCCCCAGAGGTCCACGTGCCTGGGATTCTTAGCCTGGCTGGGAGTTTGATCAGAGCATTGGCTTGTTAGCTAATAATTGGAGCTCTCAGGTAAGGGCTAGGAGGCAGTAGATGTTCTTCATAAGGGCAAGGATGCAGCAGTAATGATGTTTTCATCTGACATTTAGAGATGTGGATTTGTAATCTCACCAAGACAGAGGATCACTCCTCCTTTACATGGGCCAGCCAGAGTTACCAATAGGCATGGCCCAAACATCTCTTATTTAGGTAATAGTTTTGCTTCTGATCAGTTGCTCAAGGCATTTGCAACTCAAGGGTTTGACAGCACAAGGCAAAAAGAAACACTTTTGTCCAGGAAGATTTTGAAGGAGGGTCTTGTCAATCATCTGGCTGCTGACAAAAGAAGTTGAACATGGCTTCCGTGCAGTGTTTGATTCTGTGTAATATTGCAGTTATAAGGTCCCCCTGTACAACTCAATGTACCTCCACATAACTCAATAAATTCACTTGTTAAGAGTTATTTAATATTGTGCATCTGAATTCTGAAGAGTGTCTGCACATTAGAATTAATGTCAGTCTTAGACATGATAAATATGATTCTAGTGGCTCCTCTGAGAAGCTTCACTAGGGTACCATTTTATTGTCTGCTGTCTCAAAGGCTTAAATCTCTTTTTCTGCCTTCAGTTCATAGGATGAAAACATGTGAAATCACTAGGATTTATATAGGCAGATTTGGCAGCTCTTTCATTTTTTACTTGGACTGTCAGATATAAATCAACGTTACAGCACTCTTTCCAAGAATGTGTTAGAATGTGCATGTGTTTGGGGAGCAGACATGGTATTTCTATTATAATTTTGTTTGTTAGGTGTGATCTGAATTGTTTGGCTTTGTTTTATAACATTCACGATTTGTGGGTATTTAATTGGTTCTCCTCTGTTATCCCTACAAGTGACTGTCAGGTTCTTTTTTTTGCCTCCATAACTTTACTTCTGCCCAGAACGTCCCCCATCCCTCACTCATCTTTAGAGACCTAACTCCGGTACCACTTTCTCTATAAAACCTTTGTTGCTATCTCTACTCTGTATCCATCTTTCCTTAAACGACTTCAAAATTTGTTGCCAGGACCTTATACTTAACATTTTATTGTGGATTTTCTAGTTATTAACATCTGTACCACTCAATCTAACTCTTTATTTTAAACTGTTCTGTTGGCCAACAGTTTCCCATGTGTATCTTATTTTCCAATGAGATTTGTAGCTAAAAGTCCCGTGTGCATCTTATTTTTCCAGTGAGATTTGCAGCTCAGAGTCCACATTTTATGTATCTTTTTTACACCACTCCCTCCTGATAGGGGGTACCCAGGGCAAGGTGTATGTAGATATTCAGTGTATGACTGATTATTTTACTCCCTCACTACATTTTATAGAGATATCTCTTTGCAAATCAATTTAAGGAGCTGCAAATATCATTTGATTATAAACTCTATGAAGGCAAGAACCATGTCCTAGTTATCACTGCATCTCCAGTGCATTGAACAGTTGTTGAATTAACTTGCTGCATAACTTCTTTTATCTAAACCCAATCTTATTGGAACACATCTCACATAAATCATATCTGGAGATATGGAAAGCAAGGTATTTATTTCTGGAAAAGGAAAAGATTCTGGAGTTAGGGCTTATTCTTTCCACTCTTAAGCCCATCCCTCCTCCCTGTCACATCTCAAAATGAACACAACAAAAGAGTACAGAGAGGAAGCTCTGGTTCTGTACTTTTCTGGGGGCAGTATCTTCTTTCTTGAAGAAGTTCTCAACAAGTTATTTGTTTTTTAAGATATCTGCAATCATTCAGACTTGCCTGAACCTCAAAGAATTTTAAATCCTTTTATGTCCTCCCTGTATCTAGAGCCCACATTAAACAGTTCAGCCTACATCAATTTCATTTACCAGACAAGGTAAAATCAAATCCCTACTATGAATGTCCTAAATATGGAGGAAGAATTATGTAAACACCTTGCCCTTCAACTTTTGGTGGGAGAGGGGCAGTAGGGACAAAAGACTTAAAAACCTTCCACTCTTGAGTTTCCATATTAGACATGCAGGTTTATTGTAAGAAATATTGGAATGTCCCTTCATCAAGCACTCAGTCACCCAGCTTCCATTTCTTCAATACACATTTCCTGTCCAGTCATAAGAAGCAGTTCAAGAGAACTGCTAAAGTCTGATGGCCCCACTTATCTGTTTATTTGGCTCATTTTGTTTTCCAACAAAGATTTGGTTGGGTCAGCTTGCCAAGTTTCCCTCAGTAAAGAGCTGTCTGTTGGGTAGTTGGTCTTTATGAGTCCAGCTCATGGAAGATCCTTAGCAATAACTGTTTTTTATTCCAATCAGCCATGATGAGGGTAGAAGTATTGGTTTCACTTCAAGTGTATTGGGAGGAGAATAGCAAGAGAAAGGGTGGGGTTGCTTCCCTTAGAAGGAGTTTGGCAGATGCTTAAGGACTCATGGATTGTCATTCCACCCATTCAGTCCAAGACCTACTGGAGAATTGAGGGCAAAAGTGGCAGGGCTGAGATGGCAAGAGGCAGGCAGAGCAATGGCCAGTGTGTAGGTAGGAAGCCAGGGAAGACTTGGTCAGGGCTTCCTGCAATAGGCCTAGGAGTTATTCAGGGAAGGATTGAAGGATTCTCTTTATCAGTAAGCAACCCCGTTCCACCTTTCCCACCATTTAGGGGTGATTCACAGATGATTTCATTCCAAATCAAAGGACCAAAGTTTATTTATTAGAATGTTATATTTCTGTTTGTTGACGTGTCATTGACCTACTCTCCGAGGTTTAAAACCAGTTGACGTTAGTGACAAGGATGAATACAGAGCTGAAACCATGACCTGTGAGATACTGTTAAAAGTCCTCTTCATCTTAAAATATATGAAGGCCATTATGGAGACGAGGAGTTGGATTTATTCCACAATAGTTAAGAAGGCATAATAAGAACTTATTGGTGGAAGATGCAGGGAGGCAGATTTGGGCTCAATTAGAAAAAATACCCTGCAATTAAATTTGTTCAAAGATGACTTAGCTGCCCCAAGAAACAGTGAGTTCCTTTTTCCTAGAAGTGTTTGGACAAAGATTAGTGGCTGCTCATTAGGGACGCTGGGGAGGAAATTCTCTTTAAAAAGTAACAATATAAAAGATTGAAGCGTTTAACTTTGTCTTTGGTTTATATTGCAAAGGCTTAATGAATGATGATGACAAGAGCAGGGATAGACCTTTCCCCTTTCTGGGCCTCAATTTCCTTCCTTTCAAAACAAGAAGGCTGGGCCAGGGACTCTCGAAGGTTGGGTGGGCTCTGCCACTCTGTGCGAGCACTAGCAATCCAGGTAATTTACCATTCCTAGTTTTGTGCTTATGTTGCTAAGAGCATAGCCAGGTGCTGTGTCAGGTTCTTTGGGTACCTTAATTCGTGTCCTTAGGGAGAATGGAGGGAGAAAGTTCAGCCTTGGTTCCCATGACCTCATATGCTATATATCAAAGGCTTTGGAGGTTTTCTTGGCTGCCTGACAATTTTCTTGGCCGTTTCACATCCCAGCCTTGTCTGGTTGCACCAGGGGCCTCAGCAAAGCCCCAAGAGACTCAGTTGCCCAGCACAAGGAAATTTAAGGCTTTCAAGAAGCAGTTGAGGACTGGCTATGTTCTAATAGCACTGGGATTTTAACTCTGATCATTTGAACATGTTCCTAAATTGGAACTTATAGGAACTCCTTTACCTAGTCCTAGAATCAAGAGTTAGGAATGGATGAAAAAGAAGATATACTCTCTATTCTTAAAATATCAGAACTGGCGGATAACTAGAGCACACACATACTTCTTCTTCTTCATATTACTATTATTATTATTATTTTAGTTTCTGTAGTAGGGATCCCAAAAAGTCAACTACAAAAATCGAAGATGAGGGAAAGATATACTTATTAATCACTCATTCATTTAATCAATATTTGAATGCTGAACATGTGGCAGTCATTGAGATAATGTATTAGTTTGCTAGGGCTGCCGTAAGAAAATAACAAAGATCGGATAGCTTAAACAATAGAAGTGTATTTTCTCACAGTTTTAGAGGCTAGAAGTCCAAGATCTAGGTGTCAGTAGGTTTGGTTTCTTCTAAGTCTCTTCACTTGGCTTTGTAGATAATAACTTCTTGCTATGTCCTCACATGGTCACCCCTCAGTCTGCATGTGTGTGTTTTGTAATCTCTTCTTCTTATAAAAACACCAGTCATATTGGATCAGGGCCAAACTCTTGTGACCCTATTTTATCTTAATTGGCTCTTTAAAGGTCATATCTCCAAATAGAGTCATATTCTGAGGTGCCAGGGGTTAAGCACTTCAGCATATACATTTTGGGAGGCAGATAGCTCAGCCCTAAACAAGTACTAAATTGTGACTTAGAGGTAGATATAATAATGATGAAAATAATGTTTCAGCTGACAGGGAAATCAATATGATTTCACTGCCTAATGTTATGGCAATCTCAAGTTGTGTGACCAGAAATATGGCACAGTATATGTTCTTTTAATCAATTTCCATTTACTTGACTTATTAGATTGACATATACTCTTGATTACTTGTTTAAATTATGCCAATCAATGCCCATGGCACACTGAATGCTGGCAGCCAGTGGGCTCAGGCACCTGTGCCCACCCTGGGTGAGTCCCTGCTCACCAAGAATCACTTGTGTTCATTCACAAATATGGAAATGCCAATTATATTTGTTGTTGTAATTGTAGAATTTAACTATATACTATCTAAATAAATGAAATATGAGTGCAAAAGAGAATCTTTTTTTTTTTTTTTTTTTTTTTTTTTTTCAGATAGAGTCTCACTCTGTCGCCCAGGCTGGAGTGCAGTGGCGCGATCTCGGCTCACTGCAAGCTCCGCCTCCTGGGTTCACACCATTCTCCTGCCTCAGCCTCCTGAGTAGCTGGTACTACAGGTGCCTGCCACCATGCCCGGCTAATTTTTTGCGTTTTTTTTTTTAGCAGAGACGAGGTTTCACCGTGTTGGCCAGGATGATCTCGATCTCCTGAGCTCGTGATCCACCCGCCTTGGCCTCCCAAAGTGCTAGGATTACAGACTTGAGCCACCATGCCCTGCCAAAAGAGAATCATTTCTATGAAAACTAAGTTGAATGTCTTAGAAACACTTGATAATGGTGAGTCACTAAAAGAATTGGTGTCAATTTGGTATCGAACAGATATGATCCAAATCCTGGCTCTGCTCCTTTCTAGGTGGTAATTTTGGGCACATTACTTTATCCCTACAGAACAGTAACAAGAAGACTGAAAGCAAGAACTCAGCCAACTATAAAAGACCAAAAGGATTCTGGACTCAGGCTGTTTCCCAAGTATAATGTCTTTAAATTCTTATCTTAGGCTTAGCCCCTAAACCGTAAACTCTATGAGGGCAGCAACTAGGTCCATTTTTTCTCACCATATCTAATGAATTACACAATGCCTGGTATATTATAGGTGCTCAATAAATAATCACTTAGTAAAGGACCTATGTTAATATTTTGGTACATTTCCTCTAGTGTTTATTCTATGTGTAGTATATATGTGTATATGAATATATGTATACATATAGTATATATTGTATATTTATGTATATGCAGTCATGCATGGCTTAACAACAGGGACATGTTCTGAGAAATGTGTCCTTGGGCAATTCTGTCATTGTGGGAACATCATAGAGTATACTTACACAAGATGGTATAGCCTATTACACACCTACCATTGCTCCTAGGCTACAAACCTGTATAGCATGTTACTGAACTGAATACTGTAGGCAATTGCAGCACAATAGTAAGTATTTGTATTCTAAACATAGAAAATTTACAGTAAAAATACTGTATAAAAGATAAAAAATGGTACACTTCTACAGGGCACTTATCATGAATGGAGCTTGCATGAGTAGTGAGTGAATGTGAAGGCCTACTACTGTACACTACTGTAGACTTTATAAACAGTGTGAACTTAGGCTAAGTACACTTACAGTAAATTTATTTTTTTAAATGGTCTTTCTTCAATAATAAATTAACCTTAGCTTAGTGTAACTTTTTTACTTTATAAACTTTGTAATTTATTTAAACTTATGACTCTTGAAATAACAGCTGAAAACACAAACACATGGACAGCTGTACAAAATTTCCTTTCTTTATATCCTTATTATATCAGCTTTTTCATTTAAAATATTTTTTGGTTTTTACATTTTATACTCTTTTGTTAAAAACTAAGACACAAGTACTCACATTAGCTTAGGTCTACACAGGGTCAGGATAATTGAGACATTACTGGACGATAGGAATTTTTAAGCTCCGTTATAATCTCGTTACAGTCGTATATGCGATCCATTGTTGACCAAAACATTTTTACACAATGCATGACTGTGTATTCATGTACATATATGTTAACTTTTTTGGGAAAACATTTTATTAATTTTTTCTTCTCTGCTTTTTTCACTTAACCTGACTATATCCTATATCCCAAACATTTTCCTGTCAGTAGAAATTCTTTTTTTTTTTTTTTTTTTGAGATGGAGTTTCACTCTTATTGCCCAGGCTGGAGAGCAATGGTGTGATCTCTACTCACTGCAACCTCCACCTCCCAGATTCAAGCGATTCTCCTGCATCAACCTCCTGAGTAGCTGGGATTACAGGTATACGCTACCATGCCCGGCTAATTTTTTTGTATTTTTAGTAGAGATGGGGTTTCACCATGTTGGCCAGGCTGATCTTGCACTCCTGACCTCAGGTGATCCACCCGCCTCGGCCTCCCAAAGTTCTGGGATTACAGGTGTGAGCCACTGCACCTGGCCAGAAATTCTTAAGAAGAGATCTTATTTTGGAATTATAGCTGGTACTCGGGGAAGTGTGCACAATTTACCACCTGTTTCCTTTAACTTGAAGGTTCTAAGACATATTGGTGTGGCTAAGGAGACGCTATGCCTGTTAATGACATCCTTTGTATGTGCTGTTGCAGAACACAGGTTGTATATGCTGCTTCATTAGCTAAAACAGCTTCCAAAGATCAGATTCATTTCTTCAACCCCAAAGGTTTCTTAGGAAGCCAGAGACTGGAACACTAAATAATTCTTACTAAATTCTTACTAGATTCTTACTAGGATATTAAATAATTCTTAATTCTTGTAATGTCTATCTTCTGGTTTGCTTCACTAAGGGGTTTACAGGCACTGGAAACACAACATGACTAAAATTTCTTCTCCTGCGGTGTTACCCAAACCATTTAAGAGCATCGTCTTTGCCTTAATCACTCAAGTTAGAAACTTTGGGTTTTTCTTGGGCTTGTACCTCTTCTGCATGTTGGATAAGTCCTGCCAATGCCATCTCTAAAAATTGTCTTGAACACCCCTCCCCCTCCATTCTCAGTTTACTGTGACCCTTTTCTTAATCACACCTTCCTCATGTCTCCTGGGACTATTGCAGCATCCTCCTAATAGGTTTTGTTATTTTCTGCCTCACTCCATCTGATTTGTTCTGTACATTCTAGTTAGTTTTTTTTCCTCAATGCAGACTTAAATATATTGCATTTTGATTTTCTGCTCAAAATGCTTTTGAGGGCATCCCTTGACATAGACTGAGTTCTCACTCATTACTATGGCATTTAGAGCACTTTACTCCAACCTACATTTCCAGTCTCTTTTTCTGGTATAAAATATTTTATAACAAATTTTTAGAAAGAGTATTGTCTTTATTACAGACAGACAGACAGGAGCCAAACCCTGGCTGTGCGCCTTTCAGCTGGTAACTTTGAGCATGTTACTCTGCCTCAGCAGCAATAATACAATGGTTGAGAGCAAGGACCCAGGAGTCCCTCCACCTGATGTCACCTCTTATTGGTGACAAAACCCTGGGTAAATGACTTAAGCACTCTAGACCTCAGGTTCCTCATCTTAAAAACGATCTTTGCATCTGTGTAGTTGAACTGTTATGCAGTTTAAATGAATCAATTCATGTAGAATGTTTACAACAGTGCCTAATATATAGTACGTGTTAAATAGGTGTTTGCTCTTATTATATGAGCACCCGCTTTCCACATCTGTAAAATGGGGGTAATACTACCCACTTATCACACAGAGGTATTTTGTAGTTAAGTAAAATGATATAAGATCATCCATGTGAAAGCACCTAGAATAACTTCTGGTATAGATTAGATATTCAGTTCTTTCCATTACCCAGATTTCAACTTAAAACTTATTTCTGCCTCTTGGG
The DNA here is from genome assembly GCF_000001405.40 of Homo sapiens. NCBI lineage: Eukaryota > Metazoa > Chordata > Mammalia > Primates > Hominidae > Homo > Homo sapiens. The sequence continues at coordinate 99,596,925 of NC_000009.12, read as the reverse complement.
AGTTTCTATAGCCATTTGTTTGTAGCATAAATACAGCATCAAGTCACTCTATATTATAATTATAATCATATATATGTACACACATGCATTCTCTATATATAGAATGCATATGTATACATGTGTGTAGATACATATGTTTGTATATGCATGTACTTTAAAAAAATTGTTAGCTTCTTCTTGAGGGAGGGAGATATGAATTATTTACCTCCAGATCACTAACTCATGACTCAGTGACTTTGAGTGTGTTACGCTGCCCCAGTAGCAGTAACATAATTGTTGAGAGCATTCTGTTACTACAACAGGTGCAGATGGGTGAGACAGTATAGGTAATTATTATGAATGCTGCCTCTTGAGACAAACACAGGTCTAAATCTCAGCCCTGCCCCTTACTAGCCACAGGATCTTGGCAGATTACTTACTCTCTCTAGTGATACTACCCTCCACATAGGGCTTGATGAGGAGCGGACAAGATACTCAAACATAAAGGACAGTGACTTGATCATAATAAAAGCTCCATAAATGTTGCCTGGTAATCATACTTTACAGATACTTGTTAACCTTAATTGTTTTCTTGGGAATGCATAAGCTTCAATACCCTGACTCTGTTAAAAAATTTTACAGTTCTTTTATTCCTTTAGATTATGATATGGATGGATGATGGAAGGAAGGATCTATGAATATAATATTTGAGTTTCAGTTACTGGCCTTTACTTCTTCCAGAAAGTCAGGCCAAAAGGTAAGGACTGAAATGGGAAGCTCTATAATGAAGGGCAGGGTGAAGGGGAACCTTCCTTATTTTCGCTAATAAATAAGACAGAGAGGCCACCCTATGATAAGGGAACAACCTTTTCTGTCATGTCTTCATTGAAATTGAAGAAACGAAATGAGCACTGACGGAGAAGGGTGATGTCACCCTGTCATCTGCTGTCCCTGAAATACCACTTCCTCTTGGTGGGAGCATGACGAGACAACACAGAAACGCAGTTTGGTCCCTCTCAGAGGGACTGTCAGCTCTTCAGATGCTCACATGCAATGAAAGGGTGTCACTGATGAACCCAGCTACCTAATCCTAGAGGAAAAATAGAAGACATAACATACAGAAATACATAAGACAACAGAAGAGGGCTGTTATTTGCAGACAAATACTCTTAAAGGTATTTTATAGTATGCCCTCAGCCCCATCACCACCACACACAGACACTACCATCCAGTTTTACAAAAATAAATTTTGTGTGTCAGATTTGTGCTAGGCATTGTTTTAGATGCTGTAGGAAATCCTGGTGGGGCAAAGGCAAAGATTTGTCTGACCTAGTAATGCCCTTAAGAAAGTTTATATTCTAGTGGAAAGATAGAAGTGTTCCAAGGTCATTGATAACCTATGAAATGATGCATAATAAACACATGAAGAGTAAGCAAAGAGCCATGGGACCCTGAGGAGGAAGGCTTCTCCCGGGTGAAGGGAATTAACATCTGTTAATTTATATACAAAGTCTATGAAATCAGTGTGTTGAAGAGATATCTGCACTTCCATATTCACTGCAGCACTCTTTACAATAGCCAAGCCATGGAATCAACCTAAGTGTCCATCAACATAAGAATGGATAAAGAAAATGTGCTGTATAGGCACAGTAGAATACTATTCAGCCTTAAAAAAGAAGGAAATGCTGTCATTTGTAACAAAATGAAATAAACATGGAGGACATTATGTTAAGTGAAATAAGCCAGGCACAGAAAGACAAACACAATATGATCCCACTTATATGTGGAATCTACAAATGTTGAACTCATAGAAACCAAGAGTAAAATGGTGGTCACCAGAGACTGGGGTTAGAGAGATTGAGGAGATGTTGGTCAAAGGACACAGAATTTCAGTTAGACAGGAGGAATAAGGTTAAGAGATCTATTGTGCATCATGGTGACTATATTGTGTACTGGAACATTGCTAACAGAGTAGATTTTGAGTATTCTCACCACAAAAGTAGGTGAGGTAATGTGTACGTTAATTAGTTTAATTTAGCCATTCCACAATGTATACATATGTCAAAACATGTTGTACACCATAAATATATGTATTTTTTACTTGTTAATTAAAAACTTCTTTAAAAACAGAAGCTATTATGTGGCACATGCTATGCTGGGAATTTTACCCATTTTTTTTTTCCAACAGGAAAATTGAATGAGGTCAGTATTATTAACTCTTTGACAATGGGTTATTTGGAACCTCAAAGAGTTTAAGTAACTTGCCTGCGTCATGCATTAGCAGTAGTCAAGGTAGCACCCAGCTCCAAGGCTGTCTGATGTCAGAGTCTTGGCAGTTTCCTTTCCACTAGAGATAACAGAAGGCAGCTTTTGACTGGGGCTTGAAAAATTTCAACAGGTGGAAAAAAGGAATGTAAAGTGGACAACAAGAGAAGGCTTGTCACTCCAAGGAAAGGATGGTGTGTCACGAGATAACCCAACACTGCCTCATCCGTATCATCCATGTTGCCATTAAACAGATCACACACTACAAGACAGGCCCTGTACTTGTCCTTAAGAGATATGGGTGCATAGGACAAAAACCCCTAACCTTGCACATATGAGTCGAAATATATCTGAGGAATCATGCAGAATATGGAGTATATTCAATGCCTAATGTGGCATTGATGTGTTATGAATCATGGTTATTTTATCTAAAAGAGAATGACTGAGAATATGAAGAGGTATGAGAAGGCACTGGCCTGGAATTTGGAGGATCTCAGGCTGGCCTTGATTACTACATCCTGACTTTGTGACTCTGGGCAAGTCACATCCATTCTCTGGCCTGAGTTTCTTCATGGGGGGAGTGAAGGTTTAATTTACATGATTTTGAACATCTTCCTTCCAGCTCAAAGCAGACACTGAGGAGCTTTGCTAAATTAATTTTGTTCTAACAGGTCTTCTTTTGAGTATTCTCCCCCATTTCTCCCCCAAGATGGCTAATGCTGTTTCTTGGAAACATTGATTGCACACCTCCACCCTACCTCAGAGGGGAGGGGAGCCAAGCAAAAGTGTCTCTCTGAGGAGGAAGGTGGAGTTGCCCACCTGCCCAGGGCAGTAAACATTCCTCCCTGGCAGTCAGCTGACTGTGGTTGGGGAAACCCAGCCTGGAAGATCTCTAAGGCTGTATCTCCGTGCCTGAAAATGACACTACAACCCTGCATTATTCACCCAGCTACCAACTGTGTTTACAAAATAGGACTGGCAAGTTCTGGATAATTGGCCACTCCTGGCTAAAATTATAAAGTCACTACGTCATTGTGCTTCAGCACAGTGGAAACAACAAGAGGTAGAAAATGGATTCATTTGAGGCCAATTTTAAACATTTAGGTCATTTATTACCACTGAATCCCTAATTCTTTCTGTGTTCACAGTAAACGTCAGCTTATTCTTGGACTGCTAAATACACAGACTAAATGATCTCTTCTGAGGTACTCTGTTGGAAGGCTGGCTACCTTGTGCTTTTATTGAGCATTTAAAAGCCTTGAGTTTCATTCTTACCTCTGACACTAACTCTCTGTGTCATCTCAGATAAGCCACTAACCTCTTTGTGCCAATTTTTCTCATTGGTAAGATGAGGAAGTTGGACAAGATCTGTAGTTTCATTCACTAGCTTTAAAAACTTTTTTTTTTTTTTTACCATTGATCCCACATTTTGAAACATTCTCACTCTCAAAAATTTACATTTATTAAGTAAAAATTAATACTAGGAAAAACACTGCTTAAGTAATAATTAACATTAGAAAAACGCAGCTTTTCCTAGTATTTTCATTGACCATAGATTTCTATAATTTCTAGTCAGAAGTTCTGATAACAGTGAGGTACCCAGTGTGACCACATTGAGATGATGTCATTCCAGACATAAGAGAAGACACGTGACATTTTCTCTCACCTGGGTGGGGAGGCCGACCACAGGAACACTTGTGATTTCTGGAAAGATGTGGAAGGTTGAAAAGAGCTGGAGGAACCAAATTGTCAAAAGCACAGGCAGACCTGGGTTTAGAGTTTCATTTTACCATTTGGTAGCTATGTGACTTTAGGAAAATGACTTAACTTCTCTCAGCCTCATCATTCTCATTTTTAAAGTAGAGATAATCAGGAAATTGTATGTACCCTGGCTATCTCACAAGTTTTTTTCTAACAGTTAAATTAAATAATGCATTTGGAAAGTTGTTCAAAACTGCAAAACCTGAAACAAATGAAAGTTGTTACTCCTAGTGTTGTAAATATTCTCATTCCAAATATTATTAGAATATTAGATTGTAACTGACAACTTCTCAGACTCATATTCCACCATCCATCCTGTTAGATGTATGAAATAATTTGACTCTGCTTCTTTCCTTTATTCATAAACTAATTTTTTTCTTATTATTATTAACTTTGTGGTAAAATTCACATTAAACTTACCATTTTAAGATGTAAAATGCAGGGCTATTAATATAGTCACAGTGTTATGCAACCATTACCACTATCTAGTTCCAGAATATTTTCGTCACCCCAAATAAAATCCTATACCTATTAAGCAATTGCTCCTCATTCTACCCTCTACTCCCCCTCTAGCCTCTGGCAAACCGCCAGTTGACTTTGTGTGTCTATGGATTTTCCTTTTCTGAGCATTTCATATTAGTGGAATCATACAGAATGTGGGTCTTTTGTGTCTGACTTCTTTCCCTTAGCATAATGTTTCCAACCTTCATCCATGTTGTAGCATGTATAGAACTTTATTTCTTTTTAGAGCTGAATAATATTCCATTGTATGAATATGCCACACAGAGTGGTTTTAACTCTTGTGGATTATTGCCTTCTTTGAAAATCTGATGACATGCACAAACACACTCTTCTCCCCACAAAACTGCATGTAATTTCAAGGCATTGAAAGAGACCCCCAAGTCCATTAATGTACCCCAGATTAAGATCTCCTGCTCAAGTAAGAGAACTTTTCCTGAATTATCCTATTCATTCATTCACTCATTCACTCATTCATTCATTCATTCATTCTAACCATTCATTTATAATTACTAATTGTATGTAAAGTGCTTTTCTATGGTGGAAGGCATGAGAATAAAAGTGAGAAAAAAGTGGACACTCGTGGAGCTTACTTTCTAGCGGTGGGAAGCAAATAAATTCAATCTGATTTTTACCATTGATCCCACATTTTGAAACATTCTCACTCTCAAAAATTTACATTTATTAAGTAATAATTAATACTAGGAAAATATATTAATAAAAATAATTAATATGGGAAGCAAATAAATTCAATCTGATTATTATTCCAGGAGAGGAATAATACTAAATAATAATTATTAATTATAGTAATAATTATTATTATTCCAGAAAAGGAATAATCTAGCAAAGAGGTCTAGATAATGTTCCTTCTTCCTGTGATAGCGGCAATTCTATCTTTAAATTATGAAACAATTCAGGTGAACATGTGGATTTTCTCAAATTTTTCTTTCAAAAAGGCTACAGTTTGCTATGTTTCATAGTAATTGAGAGCACAGGCTTGGGAGCCAGAGTCTACCTTTTCCATGAAATATCTGTTTCACCCCCACCCCAGAAAGTTAGTTACCTCTCTTCATATATTTTCATCTATAAAATGGTAATAATAATCCTATATAATTTATCCTTTTTACAACAACCCTACTCAATGAAATAAAGTATGTAAAACAACTAAGACACCTGAAATACAGATTTTGCTCAATAAATGGGGGATCATTTGTTTACCAAACAATTGCCCATTGCCATTCTCTCCTGAAGTAAAGCTCCTTTGCATGCTGCTTAACCATGGGGAAAAAGGAAGTGTTCTGTCACATGTGTTGTTTTAGTCAGAAAAAGAAGGAAGTGGGACGTGTCTTACAAGGCTGGAAGAAAAGGAGCTGGGCTGTTTCAGCCCCACCAGTACATACTGGTTGATGTTTCACCTCTCTGTCTCTATTTTGAGAATCATTCTGGATTTTCCTGAGATTTGGGTTCATGATGTCTTGTTTCTGCCTTAAAGGCAGAATCTCCCTTACCCAGCCTCTTCCTTCTGTTTTCTTCTGGGTCTCTGCTTTAGAGAATTCTTCCCTGGCCTTGTTTTCTCCTCTCCCTCCCCAGCCCTGTCACTCAATTCCCCTTATCCTGCTTTCTTTCTCTTCATGGCATTTAACACAATTTTTAATCTCTAGTGCATAGAACAGGGCTGGGCACTAGCAGACACTCAAGGAAATATTTATTGGACAGACCAATTTATTGAAAATCTCAGTATTCATGAATTTTGTATTTCCTGCCCACTTGCTGTTAGGTGTGGCTCAATTACTCATTTTGACTAATGAACTGTACTGAGTGGAAGTGACAATGTATCACTCTCAGGCAGATCCTTAATGAGCCAGGGCAAGCTATTGATTCTCTTTCCTTCTGTTGTGTAGCTAACCATATGTGAGATTGTGGCTGCATTGTCATCCCAAGTCCCAGAGTGGCTACAATGAGTGGAGCCTCCCCTAATTTCTTGTGATAGGGATGTTACATAAAAAAGAAATAAATCTTTACTGTTTTAAGCCACAGAGCTTTGTGGGTTATTTGTTACTACAGCATAACCTATATTTTCCTGACTGATACAAGTGCCAACCTTATAATTTAGTCTCTTACTCTCTCCCCACAAAAGAGATCTGGTAACACTCAACTTCAAATAAAAAACCCATGATTAGAAAAAATAGATGTGGCATTATAGTACTATCTTAGGTCGCATCTACGTCTAATTTATTCACAAGATGTCTACAGAATGATCATTGGTCAGCTCCTACTTCATGTACCGCACTTTAGCACTGGAGAATGAGATTAAGTTTTAGAAATCATTTCCTTCAGGTAGCAGAGGTTTCTCCACATGAGACCTCCCTACCCCACCCCCATCCCCAGGCCCTGTGCAATTTGTTCTTCCTCAGCCTCCACTGCAATGACTAAATCTGCACAGTCTCTGACCAACGTTAGCCCTTTTATGTTCATAAGACAGACAATTATCTCAATGCTCAATTGCAGATTAATTGAAGTGCTGGTATAGTAGAAGAAAAAAGATTTTGCATCAGAGAACTTTGGTTCAATCCATGAACCAAAAAGCTCCATGATCTTGAGTAAATTGCTTAGTTTTTCTGAACCAAAGGACCCCAATTATAAAATTGGGATGACAATGTGAGTCTAACCAAAATTCTTGCAGATAGATGTGTTTTGGAATTCAGAATTTTTTAGATTTTAGAAAGGTAATATGTTGCATATGATGCATAAATTGAAACAAACCAAGTAAGACCTGGGAAGCCCTTCAAAACGAAACACGTTACTATTTCTGCATCAAAATGTATCATAGTCAAGTAAATGGGACAAAGACTATGAAGAGGCTTTGTCATTACATGAGTTTTCCCAGAACTTTTGGTTTTCAGAGTTTTAGAAAAAAATTATGAACAAGGTATTGTGGGCCTGTAGCTGTATTTTAGGTTGTTACTATTTCATTATTATGTTATTATTTCAAATAATATGTTATTATCTCATTTTTGATGTATATAAAATGAAATAAAATAATGTATATAAAAATAAAGTCATGTATATAAAAAGGATATTTTGTAGAATGTATATAAAAGGGACATTTGAACAATGTCGCCATAAAAATGAGAATTGTTATATCCTCACAGCACAGAATTAGTAGTTCATTCAATAACATTCCACATAACATTCAAAAATAACAGTAATATGCAGTTAACATCTACAATATGTTAGTCATTTCTCTAGGTGCTGGCACTTATGTTACCAATAAATCAAAGCTGAATTTCTTCTCATCAATCTCTTTCCCAAAAGATGCATGTGCTTCTGTGTAATCCTTTTGTCTTAGTCTGCTTGAGCGCTGTAACAAAATACTTTAGACTAAGTAATTTTTAAACAACAGAAATTTATTGCTCACAGTTCTAGAGGTTAGGAAGTCCAAAATCAAGGTGTCAGCAGATTTGGTACTGGTGAGGGCTCACAGATAGTGCCTTCTGGCTGCATCCTCACATGGTGGAAGGCGTGAACAATCTCCCTCAAGCCTCTTTTGTAAGAGCACCTATCTCATTCATGAGGACTCCATCCTCCTGGCCTAATGACTTCCCAAAAGCCCCAGGTCTTAATACTATTGCATTGTGAATTAGGTTTCAACACATGAATTTGGGGGGAAACACAGACATTCAGACCACAGTAACTTTCCTACATGTGCGCACACACAGAGCCAGACTTTTGATAGTTTCTTATGCTTATTAAGATACTTCTTTATTTGGGGCTTTAAAAAATGTGTCAGATAAATTAAGTTCTCTACTTTTCAGAACAAAGTCCTAGAAGGTCTTCTGGTGAGTCACATTCTGAGCAGCAAAACTGGCATTGAGGCATAATTAACATTCAGATTGCCCCCAGTTTCTATGGAGATGAGTCTAGCCCCTCGGGGGAGTAGTGATGGATGTGTAATCTCCAAGATAAGTAACTGACAGGTAAGAAATTTTTCTTTCTCAGATGCATTAATTATTCACATTCATTATTCATCAAACACTGCGAATTTCTATTTGGAAATTGGACCAAATAGAGATATTCTTCCTGGTCCACTTCCTATAATCAAATTCTCCTAGGGACTGCTGAGAGTTTGAATAGGTCTGCTGTTTGGTCTAGTTTAATGGCAGGTGTTTGTTTAGTGTCACCAGATGATGGAATAAAGACTAAACACCTTGTGGACTACAGAAGCAAAGACTTGCATGGGCTTCATCCTCTCTAGGTACTGATATTTCCTTCTTACTGTTTTCTCCTTCTAGAATGTAAGCTTAGTAACAACTCAGACCTTGCTTGTCTTGTTCACCAGTGCATCTCCAAGCTCCTATAACAGAGTATAGACACTTGATAAATATTTTTTGAATGAATGAATGAGGTTTGGGTCAGGGGATGGCAAAGTCCATCAGAGTGAATGCATATGGGAACTGTCAAATGGGAGATCCAGCCCTGGTTCTTTAATGGGAATTGCTGTCCACATCCTTCCCTGGCTAAGATAAAACATACAAGGGGCACAGAGAGAAGTAATTGGGGCAAGACCCTTAGTCCTTTCCATGATTGGCACCTCTTGGCACATTCTTTAAGTCAATTCTTATTGCAAACATTGTCTTTTTATCAGTGTATCTGAATGTAGACCTGTATTTTGCCTGATATATATCCTGGGACCATGGTCAGTCAAGAATTACTGATGGCCTCAACAGGCCAGGCTTTGAAACCGCACACAGTGCCTAGTCTCAATATAGAGCCATGGCCCAAGGTCAGTTCTCTAAGAATTAATTTGAGGAAACAAATTCACTGAATGCCTATTTGCCTAATGACCAATCTTCCAAAAACAGACTTTCTATAATAGGATCGACTTAAAAAGTGGGCAGCCATTGGGGTTCTATGGGATGGTTTCAAGGGCCTTTGAGTTTTCCAATAGTGTCTTTTTTGCTCCATTAGTCTTACCTTCATTAGAGCCACCTCTTCACGGCAAGTCAAAGCTTCATGTTGTATAGGTTTTTGGATCTGTGACTTTTTGGCATGAGGATTTTTTTTTTTTTTTATATTTCAAATCAGGTGTTGTGTATGTCTTAAATGTCAGGAATATTACAAAAGATAGAGCAGGTGTCTCTTGTCTAACACATTCCAAATCTAGTTTACTGCCTAAATACATGTTAACTGGTTCAAACAAATTAATATTTTGTTTGGGCTTTGAGCAAACCCAAAAGTATTTTAGGATCTAAATTATTAAATACAAAAGAAATGAATGTTCAGTCACCTTGGACTAATAGGGCTAAGTGGCTAAAACGATATAGTTGTAAGAAAGCTAAAAACTAATTGTGTTTCTTAGTAACACATCCTTTCATTCATTCATTAATTCAACATATTGAGTCTCTTTTTGTTGCCAGGCTGTATTCTAGGAACTCAAAATGAAAGAAAAATAGGATATGTTTCTTACTTTAGAGACCACAGAAACTAGTCTCCTATATTGGACCTTCTTGGTAAGAGGTAGGATTTATTCTCTTGAATTCATTGACTTTTTTTGGTGCTCATCCTTTTATTCCATTCTACCTTCTACTTTACAAGTATAACTTATATGCCTTAACTGTACTGATTTTTACCTTCATGGCCTATCCTAATTCTCATGAAAATGCCCTTTCTCGTCTCACATATGCTCACTGTATCACTGGAGACCTCAGTTTTAGCCTCTCAGCCTCTTTCTGTCCTTTCTTGCTCTGGCAGCCCCATCCCTTCAAAGGCCACATGAATCTGAAGGCCAATATTCAAGTCCTATGCTGTTATTATCAACTTGGATGCAGCGAGTCATCTGACCTGACCTGTGGACACAGCCTCTGCATCTGTTGAGAGGATTAAAGAAGTCTAATTCACAGTTACTGCAAGTATAATGGAGCTGAGAGGATGGTGTGAGCAATAGCACCAATGTAAGAGTTATCATAGATTAACACACTACTGGTTCTGATGCAGCACATAAGGCAAGTACCATGGGAATGCAGAGGAGAAAGAAATTAGGGAGATCAACAAGGTTTCACAAAGCAGCTATGGTGAACTTGGCCTTGAGAGTAGGGTTTTCCTGGTGAAGAAAAACATTCTAGGCAGAAGAAATAGCATACACAAAGACTCAGAGGCACCAAAGAGTCCTGTGTGTGTGGTGAATAATGAACAGAAATTGCCATAGATTAGGTGGGAAGTCATTGGTGTTAATTTATAGGTTTGATAGAAGCCAATTCTTGAAGGGTTTTGTATGCCACAGTAAAGGACAGAGTTTTATTTAAGGAGCCACTGAAAAGCTTCATTCATTCTACAAATAACTTTTTCGGTGAGCCAGTATGTGCCAAGCATGGTTGTAAGTACTTGTAATACATCAGAATAATAATAAAAAGAGTATTCATGTACCCACCACCCAATTTAAAAACTAAGAAATTGTCAATCCTTATGTAAGTCTCTGTGTTTCCCTTGTCAATGGAATCCTTCTCCTTGCTCCCCAAAAGTAACCCAAACGCTAAGTTTTGTGTTTGTCATTTTCTTGTTTTTCATTTCAGTTTTACTCATATGTGAGGAAAGGGGCTTAAGAAATATTTGCTCAATTGATAAATAAAAATAAAAATATATGCCCCTGTGTGGGTGGTCTCCAGGGCCCTTTCTCACAGATATTGCTTCTACTTCTGTTGTTGTAATTCCAGTGCTCCCAACCAGTCTTCCATCCTCAGTTTTCTTGACTTATATGCTGGTGTATCTCTGTATGAAATTGTTCTATTTACTATTGAAGTAACTTTATACAAATTACTCTTGGAATCCCTTTTCTTTGACATAGCACCTATTTATAATTTTTATCTCTTCTTTCTATCTTTATCCACACGTAAGTGGAATAATCACAATTGTAGATATTTTACATTTTGTGCTTCAGTTTTTCACTTTGTACGTTTCTGTAGTTTTTGTATTTCTAGTCTTTGTATTAATTATTTTTATGACTGCACAATATTCTATCAAGCAAATATATTATAATTTGTTTGATCATAATTAAATTGCTGGATAGTCAGGCTGCTTCCCATTTTAAATGATTGTAAGTAGCATTGCTGCAAAAACCTTTTCACTTAAAAGATTTTTTGTCTTTTATTTCCTTAGGATATATTTTCATAAATGAGATTATTCAGTCAAAGGCTTGATGAATTTTGTGGCTCTTGTTACCTGAGGGGCTTGCTTTATTTTTAACATAATTGTTTCTTTTTCTGATTATAAAAGTAATTCATGCTCATTTCTGAAAGATATGGAAATGTATAAGGAAACAAAGAAACTCTCATAATCTTTCCCCACAAAGGTAACCATCATTACCTTTTTAAGAAATTACCTTAAATTTTTATTTCATCATTAACATCTGATATATTTCTTTCAACATTTATAAAATTGGAATTATATATTATTTTGTAACCTGTTTTTTAAACTTGATCATCAGCTTTTCCCAAGCTATTGAATATTTTTCAAAGAAAGTGTTTTTTAATGGCCACATAGTACTGTGTTGTGTGGCTGAGTATTAATCCCTTGTTATTGAACTTTTTGATGTTGTAAATGAAAATTCTTATATAAACCTTCATGAGAATTCTGATTGTTTTCTTAGTGCAAATGTTTGGAAGTAAAACACAAAATGAAGGATATGAAAACCCTCAGTTTTTGATCCATGCAGGAATCATGCTTCTTGACTCATAGTAGTCCTTTGCTACCCTATACTTTGCTACTTCTATTGCTGCTGTAACAGAGTACCACAAATTGAGTGATTTACACCAGGGATCCCCAACCCCCAGTCCCCACAGCAGGAGGTGAGCAGTGGGCTGGTGAGCATTACAGTCTGAGATCCACCTCCTGTCAGATCAGCAGTGGTATTAGATTCTCATAGGAGCACTAACCCTATTGCGAACTGCACATGTGAGGGATCTAGTTTGCATGCTCCTTACGAGAATCTAATGCCTGATGATCTGTTGCTGTCTCCCATCACCCTCAGATGGGACTGTCTAGTTGCAGGAAAACAAGCTCAGGGTTCCCACTGATGTCACATTACAATGAGTTGTGTGTGTATTTCATTATATATTAAATGTAATAATAATAGAAACAGAGTGCACAATAAATGTAATGTGCTTGAATCATCCCCATACCATCCCCCCACATTCTGGTCTGTGGAAAAATTGTCTTCC